>NC_000010.11:83173398-83324913 GCF_000001405.40 Homo sapiens | reverse complement strand
TATGTTTCTGCTTTTATATTAGTACCATGCTGATTTGGTTACTATAACCTTGTAGTATAATTTGAAGTAGGATAATGTATGTCTCCAGATTTGTTCTTTTTGCTTAGGATTGCTTTGGCCATTTGGTTCCTTTTTTGGTTCCATATAAATTTTAGGGTTGTTTTTTTCTAATTATGTGAAAAATGATGTTGCTATTTTTATAGAAGTTACATTGTGTCTATAGATTACTTTGAGAAGTATGATCATTTTCCTGATATTGATTGTTCCAATTCACGAGCATGGGATGTTTTTAAATTTGTTCATGACATCTATGATATCTTTCATTAGCGTTTTTTTGTTTTTGTTTTTGTTTTTCTTTTTGAGATGGAGTTTTGCTCTGTCGCCCAGGCAGGAGTGCAGTGGCACAATCTTGGCTCACTGCAAGCTCCGCCTCCTGGGTTCACACCATTCTCCTGCCTCAGCCTCCCGAGCTGTGTTTTTTTTTTTTTTAATTTTGAACTTTTAGCTTTAGTGGGTACATAGTAAGTGTATATATCTATAAGGTATGTAAAATGTTTTGATATAGGCATGAAATGTGAAACAATCACATCACGGAAAATGGGGGATTCATTTCCTCAAGTGTCTATCTTTTGTGTTGCAACAATCCAATTGCACTCTTTTAGTTATTTTTAGTTCTTATAATCAATAATAATTGTACATTTTTAAATAAATAAAGATGAATAATTGTTGTGCTAAAATAGTAGGTCTTATTCATCTTTCTAAGTATTTTGTTGTGTACCCTTTAACCATCCCTGTCTATGCTTAAACCCCCAGCTACCCTTCACAACCTCTGGTTACCATCCTTCCATTCCCTATGTCCAAGAGTTTAATTGTATTGATTTTTAGATCCCACAGATAAGTGAGAACATGGAATGTCTGTTCTGCACCTGGCTTATTTCACTTAACATAATGATCTCCGGTTCTATCCATGTTGTTGCAGATGACTGGATCTCATTCTTTTTTTATGGCTGAGTGGTACTACATTGTGTATAAGTACCACATTTTCTTTATCCATTCATATATTGATGGACATTTAGGTTGCTTCCAAATGTTGGCTATTGTAAACAGTGCTGCAACAAACATAGGAGTGCAGATATTTCTTTGATAAACTGATTTCCTTTCTTTAGGGTAAATACCCAGCAGTGGGATTGCTGGATCATATGGTAGCTCTATTTTTAGTTATTTGAGCCACCTCCAAACTGTTCTCCATAGTGGTTGTACTAATTTACATTCCCACTAATAGCGTATGAGGGTTTCCTTTTCTTCACACCTTCACCAGCAGTTGTTATTGCCTGTCTTTGGATATAAGCCATTTAAACTGGAGTGAGATAATATTTCATTGTAGTTTTGAGTTGTATTTTTCTGATTATCAATGATGTTGAGAACCATTTCATATGCCTGTTTGCTATTTGTATGTCTTTTTTTTTTTGAGAAATGTCTCCTCAAATTTTTGGCTCATTTTTAATTGAATTATTAGATTTTTTTCTAGAGTTGTTTGAGTTCTTTTCATATTCTGATTATTAATTCCCTGTGAGATGAGAAGTCTGCAAATATTTTCTCCCATTCTGTTGGTAGTCTCTTAACTTAGTTGATTGTTTCCTTTGCTGTGCAGAAGCTTTTTAACTTGATGTGATCCTGTTTGTCCATTTTTGCTTTGGTTGCCTGTGTTTGTGGGTTATTGCTGAAGAAATTTTTGCCCAGACCAATGTCCTGGAAAATTTCCCCAATGTTTTCTTTTAGCAGTTTTATAGTTTGAGATCTTAGATTTAAGTCTTCGATCCATTTTGATTTGATTTTTGTATATGGTGAGAGACGGGTCTAGTTTCATTCTTCTGCATATGGATATCCAGTTTTCCCAGCACTATGTATTAAAGAGACTATTTCTTTTTGTTGTTGTTGTTGTTGTTTTCCCAGTGTATGTTCTTGGCACCTTTGTTAAATATGAGTTCGCTGTAGGTGTGTGAATTTGTTTTTAGGCTCTCTATTCTGTTCCACTGGTGTATTTGTCTGCTTTTATGTCAAGATCATGTTATTTTGGTTACTATAGCTCTGTAGTATACTTTGATGTCAGGTAATGTGATTCCTCTAGTTTTATTCTTTTGGCCTAGATTAGCTTTGTCTATTTTGGGTCTCTTGTTGTTTCATATTAATTTGGGGATTATTTTTTCAATTTCTATGAAGAATGTTATGGGTATTTTGATAGGGATTGCATTAAATCTATAGATTGCTTTGGGTAGTATGAACATTTTAACATTATTGATTATTTGACTTTATAAACATGGAATTTTTTAAATTTTTCAATGTTCTCTTTAATTTCTTTCATGAGTCTTTTATAGTTCTCATTGTAGAGCTCTTTTACTTCTTTGGTTAATTCCTAGGCATTTATTTTTATTTGTCACTATTGTAAATAGGACAAAATTTTTATTTCTTCTTCAGATTGTTCACTTTGGCATATAGAAGTGCTACTAATTTTTGTGTAAGGATTTTATATTCTGCAACTTTACTAAATTTGTTTGTCAGTTTTAATAGTTTTCTTGTGGAGTCTTTAGATTTTTTCAAATATAAGATCATATCATCTGCAAACAAGGATGGTTTGACTACTTTCACTACAATTTGGATGTCCTTTATTTTTTTCTCTTATCTGATTGCTCTAGCTAAGAATTACAGTACTATGTTGAATAACAGTGGTGAAGGTGGTCATCCTTGTTGTGTTTTAGATTTGAAAGGAAAGGCTTTCAGTTTTTTCCCCATTCAGTATGTTACTAGCTGTGAGTCTGTTGTATATGGCTTTTATTATGTTATGTTTCTTCTATTCCCAATTTTTTGAGGTTTTCTTTTTATCATAAAAGGATGTTGAACTTTATCAAGTGCTTTTTCAGCATCAACTGAAATAATAACCTTCCTTACATCCTGGAGATACATCCCTCTTGGTCATAATGAATGATTTTTCTAATATATTGATGAATTTAGTTTGCTAGTATTTTGTTGGGGATTTTTGCATCAATATTTATCAAATACATTGCCCATAGTTTTTCTTCATTGTGTCTTTGGTTTTGGTATCAGGGTAATAATACTGGCCTTGTAGAATGAGCTTGGAAGTATTCCCTCCTCCTCTATGTTTCAGAATAGTTTGAGTAGAATTGAGTAGCTCTTCTGTCAATGTTTGGTAGAATTCAGCAGTAAAGCCATCACATCTTGGGCTTTTCTTTACTTGGAGACTTTTTATTACATTCTGAATCTCAACACTTATTTGTTTTTTCAGGCATTTGTTTTTATTTGTCGCTATTGTAAATAGGACAACATTTTTATTTCTTTTTCAGACTGTTCACTTTATTTGATGGGTTGTATGTGTTGTATATGTCTAGAAACTTGTACAGTTTTTCTAGATTTTCCAATTTCTTAGCATATAGTTGCTCATAGTAGCCACTAATGATAATTTGAATTTCTGCAGTAGCAGTTGTAAGGTGTCCTTTTTCATTTCTGATTTTTTAAATTTAGATCTTCTCTCTTTTTTTCTTAGTCTGGCTAAAGGTTTGTAAATTTTGTTAATTCAGTAAATCAACTTTTTGTTTCATTGATCTTTTGTATTGCTTTCTTCCTTTCAGTTTAATTTACTTCCACTCTGATCTTTATTATTTCTTTTCTTTTACTAATTCAGGTTTATTGCTCTTGCTTTTCTGGTTCTTTACGATGCATCATCGGATTGTTTATTTGAAATTTTTCTGTTTTTTGATGTGGGCACTTATAGCTACAAACTTCCCTCTTAACGCTGTTTTACTGTATCCCATCGGTTTTGGTATGCTGTGTTTTCATTGTCATTTGTTTCGAGAAGTTTTTCCATTTCCTTCCTAATGTCATCATTGACCCACTGGTCATTCAGGAGTTTTATTTCCACGTATTTATGTAAACTTCCTCTTGTTATTGGTTTCAAATTTTATTCTATTTTAGTCAGAGAAGATGCTTGATATTATTTCAATTTTTTGAATGTTTTAAGACTTGCTTTGTGACCTAACATATAACCTATCTTTAAGAACGATCCTTGTGCTGAGGAAAAGAATGCGTATTCTGTGGCTCTTAGATGCAATGTTCCTTAGCTATCTATTGAATTTATTTGGTCCATAGAACAGATTATGTTCAATATTTTCATGGGGATTTTATGTCTGGAAGATCTGTCCAATGCTAAAAGTGTGGTGCTGAGGTCTCCAGTTATTGTATTGGGGCCTATCTCTCTCTTTAGCTATAATAATATTTGCTTTATATGTCCGAGTCTCCAGTATTAGGCACATATATATTTAAAAATGTTATATCCTCTTGCTGAATTGACCATTTTATCATTATATAGTGACCTTTTAAAATCTCTTCTTATAGTTTTGGTCTGCAAATATATTTTGTCTGATATAAGTAAAGCTACCGTTTGTCTTTTTTTTTCCCATTGGTATGGAAAATCTTTTCCCATCTCTTAATTTTCAGTCTATATGTGTCTTTACAGGTGAAGTATGTTTCTTGTATGCAATAGACCAATGGGTCTTGTTATTTCATTCATTCAGTTACTCTGTGTCTTTCAATCAGACAGTTTAGTACATTTACATTCAATGTTATTATTGCTAAGTAAGGACTTACTCCTGCCATTTTGTTATTTTTTTTCTGGTTGTTTTATGTTCTTCTCTTTCTTCTTCCTTTTCTTCCTGTCTGCCTTTAGAGACAGTGATTTTCTCTGGTAATGTGACTTAGTTTATTGCTTTTTATTATTTGTGTATCCATTGTGTGTTTTTTGGTTTGAGGTTGTCATGAGGCTTGCAAATACTATCTTATAACCCATTATTTTAACCTGATAATAACATAACAGTGTTTGCATAAACAAACAAGCAAAAAGACAACTAATCAAAAACCAGATGCCTTAGCTTTATCCCCCACTTTTTAACTTTTGTTGTTTATACTTATGTCTTATTGTACTGCATATCTCTTGAAAAGTTGTAATTATTATTTTTGTTTCATCATTTAGTCTTTCTACATAAAATAAGAATTGGTTATACACTACAGTTACAGTGTTATAGTATCATGTATCATGTGTTTTTTTCTGTTTATTTATTATTACCAGTGAGTTTTGCACCTTCAGGTGATTACTTATTGCTCATTAATATCCTTTTCATTCTGATTAAAGTACTCTCTTTAGCATTTCTTATAAGACAGGTCTGGTGTGGATGAAATCCCTAAGCTTTTGTTTGTCTGGTAAAGTCTTCATTTCTCCTTTATTTTTGAAGGACATTTTTGTTAGATATACTATTGTAGGATACAAGTTTTTTTTTTTTTTCATTCAGCACTTTAAATATGTCATGCCACTCTCTCCTGGCCTGTAAGGTTTCCACTGAAAACTCTGCTGGTAGACATAGCAGAGCTCCATTTGTTTCTTTTCACTTGCTGCTTTTAGGATTCTTTTCTTTTCACTTTTTGCTTTTAGGATTCTTTTTCTTTATCCTTCATATTTTGGAGTTGGATTATTAAATGTCTTGAGGTGGTCTTATTTGGGTTAAATCTGCTTGGTATTCTATATCCTTCTAGTACTTTGATATTGACATCGTTCTTTAGGTTTGGGAAGTTCTCTGTTATTGTCTCTTTGAATGAAGTTTAATATCCCTATCTGTTTCTCTACCTCCTCTTTAAGGTCAATAACTCTTAGATTTGCCCCTTCAGGCTATTTTCTAGCTTCTGCATGTGTGCTTCATTGTTTTTTTGTCTTTTTTTTTTTGTCTCCTCTTATTGTGTATTTTCAAACAACCTGTATTCAAGCTCACTAATTCTTTCTTCTCCTTGATCCATTCTGCTATTAAAGGACTCTAATGCATTATTCTGTATGCAAATTGCATTTTTCAGCTCCAGAATTTGTGCTTGATTCTTTATAATTAATGCAATCTGTTTGTTAAATTTATCTGACAGAATTCTGAATTCCTTCTTTGTATTATTTTGAATTTCCTAGATTTTCCTCAACACAGCACTTTTGAATTATCTGTCTGAAAGGCCACATATCTCTGTTTCTCCAGAATTGGTCTGGTCCCTGGTGGCTTATTTAATTTGGTGAGATAATATTTTCCTGGATGGCGTTGATGCTAGTAGATATTCTTTGGTGTCTGGGTATTAAAAAAATCACCACTTACTGTAGTCTTCACTATCTGGGCTTGTTTGTACCCATCCTTCTTGGGAAGGTTTTGCAGATATTTGAAAGAACTTGGGTGTTGTGATCTAAACTATATCTCCTTTGTGGGACATCTCAAGCCCAATATTGCTTTGGTTCTTGTAGACTTGCAGAGGTACTACCTTGATGGTCTTGGACAAGGTCTCAGTGAATACTTTGGATTACCAGGCGGAGACTCTTGTTCTTTTCCGTTACATTCGCCCTAACAAATTTGAGTTTCTCTCTGTTCTAAGACACCTAAAGCTGGGGGTGGAGTGACACAAGCAGCCCTCTGGCCACCACTAGTAGGACTGCACTGGATTAAACCTGAAGCCACCACAACACTGGGTCTCACCCAAGACCTGCTGTAACGAGTTAACGAGTCTCTGGCTATCGCCTATGTTTGCTCAACGCCCTGGAACTGTACAATCAGCAGATGGAAAAGCCAGTCAGGCCTATGTCCTTCCCTTCAGAGTAGCAAGTTCCCCCAGGCCCTAGGTTGGTCAAGAGTTGCTGTCGGGGAGTCAGGGACTAGAATCAAATCCTTAGATGTCTACCTCATGTTCTATTGTACTGTGGCTAAGCTGGCACTGAAACCACAAGACACTGTTCTTCTCACTCTCCTCTCCCCTTTCCAAAAGGAGAAGAGCCTCATCTCGTAGCCACCACCACCACCACCACAGGCCACAGGTAGTCTTGCTGGACTATCTGTGATGTTCCCTTAAGGTCTAAGGGCTCTTCTTGGGACTCATCCTTCAGGGCAGTGGGCTCCCCTGTGGCCCATCACAGCTTCAGAAATGCTGTCCAAGAGTCAAGTCCTGGAACTAGGGACCCTAAGTGCCTGCTTGGTGCTCTAACCCCTGTGGCTATGGTAGTACCTAAAGTACAAGACAAAGTCCTCTTTACTTTTCCCTTTGCTTTTCTCAAGCAGAAAGAATTTTGCCCTGTAGCCACCACAGGTGGTAATGTGCCAAGTCTCACCTGAAACTAGCAAATCTCAGAGGTTGACCCAAGGCCCTCAGCGTAGTATCTAGGTATCGCTGCTGGTTATTCAGGGCCCAAGGGCTCTTCAGTTGACAGGTGATAAATGCTGCCACGCTGCCATGATGGGGTCCTTCCCTGTAAGGCAGTGGGTTTCCTTCTGGCCCAGGGTGTGTTTATAAATTTCACCCAGGAGCTAAGGCCTGGAATGAAGCCCACATGACACTGACTGGTGCCCCATTTTGCTGTCACTGAGCTGGTATCCAAGATGCAAGACAAAGTTCTCCCCACTCCTCCCTCTGCTCTCCTCAAGTGGAAGGAAGGGGTCTCTTTTGGAGCCAGAAGCTGTGCAGGCTGGGCCTAGGGGAAGGGTGATGCCAGCCCTTCCTTAGCCATCCCAGCTGGTATCTCTGTAGATCCTGTGTCTCCCCAGTCCAATGTCTCTGGTCCCACTTCAGTAGTAGGACTTGCCTAAGAGTTGCAGTGCTTTGACTGCCTTTCAAATTGACTTAAAGGCCCAGAGAACTTTAGCCTGTGGTGGCGAGACTTTAAGAACTCAAGTTTAGACTGCTGGGATTGGGGATTCCCCTCTGGCTGGGACTGGTTTAAATGCTTCTTCCATGGGTGGGCATCTGCTGAGTTTTGTCTGGTTTTCCTTTCTGCTCTAGCAGGATAGAGCTGAGTTCAATGCCTCACAATTGCTGTGTTCTCCCTCCCTCAGAGCCCAAAGATGCTCTCTGCACCAGGCCACCACTGCCAGGGGTGGGGAAAGTGTGGCATCATCAATTCATAACTGTTTTTTTTCTACCTCTTCAGTGCCTCTTTCAGTGATAGGAAGTGAAAAGCAGGTACTTTGAGGGTTTACCTGATTTTTTGTCCTTATGAAGGTGTTTTTCTCTTGTGTAGATAGTTGTTAACTTGGTATCCTTGTGGGTGGGACAATGGTTGGAGCCTCCTATTTTACCATGTTTCTCTGCCTCCCTTCAGTCTACTCATCAGTGTTTTGAATTATCCTTGTAGAGATCTTTCACTTCCTTGGTTAAGTATATTTCTAGGTGTATTTTTTTTTCTTTTTTCCTGCTATTGTAAATGGGACTGAGTTCTTAATTTGATTCTCAGCTTGCTCATTATTGATGTATAGCAGTGCTACTGATTTGCATACACTGATTTGGTAACCTGACATTTTTCTGAATTCATTTATCCAATCTAGGAGTCTTTTAGAGGAGTTGCTAGGGTTTTTTATGTATAAGATCATAAGGATTTATGACTAAGACCCCAAAAGCAAATGCAACAAAACTAAAAATAAATAAATGGGACCTAATTAAACTAAAAAGCTGCTGCACAGCAAAAGAAATAATCAAAAGAGTAAACAGACAACCCACAGAATGGGAGAAAATATTTGCAAACTATGCATTTGACAAACAACTAGTATCCAGAATATACAAGGAACTCAAATCAGCAAGGAAAAAGCAAACAACCCCATGAAAAAGTGGGCAAACAACATGAACAGACATTTTTCAAAAGATATGGCTCACAAACACATGAAAAAAATTGTTAACCTCACTAATCATCAGGGAAATGCAAATTAAAGCCATACATGTACCATGGAATACCCCAGTGAGAATGGCCATTACTAAAAAGTCAAAAAACCATAGATCTTGCTGCAGATGCTGTGAGAAGTGAACGCTTATATGCTGTTGGTGGGAATGTAAATTACTACAACCTCTATGGAAAACAATATGGAGATTTCTCAAAGAACTAAAAGTAGGCCTGCTATTTAATCCAGTTATCCCACTACTCGGTATCTTGTCAAAGAAATAGAAGTCATTACATCAAAGAGACACCTGCACTCATATATTTATTGCAGCGCAATTCACAATGGCAAAGGTGTGGAATGAGCCTGAGTGCCCATCAACCAATAAGTGAATAAAGAAAATGTGATGTGATGTGTGTGTATACATATACCACGGAATACTATGCAGCCATTAAAAAGAACAAAATAATGTATTTTTCAGTAACTTGGATGGAACCGGAGGCCATTATCCTAAGTAAAGTAACTCAGAAATGGAAAACCAAATACTGCATGTTCTCACTTATATTTGGGAGCTAAGCTATGGGCATACAGGGGCATACAGAGTGGCAAAATGGACATTGGGAATTCAGATGCAGGGAGAGTGGAAGGGGGGCTGAGGGATGAAAAATTACCTGTTGGGTACAATGTACACTCTTTGGGTGATGGCTACACTAAAAGCCCAGAATTCACAATTATATGATTCATTCAGATAACCAAAAACCACTTGTACTTCTAAAGCTATTGAGATTTTTAAAAAGTAGTATATCCATGCAGTGAAATATTATTCATTCATAAAATCAATTAAGTGCTGGTACATGCTACAACATGAATAAACCTCGAAAAATAAATGAAAGAAGCCAGACACAAGAAACCACATAATATATTATTTCATTCATATGATATGCACAGGTCAGTTTAATTTACAGAAACAAAAAGTAGATTAATTGTAGTTTAGGACTGGGGATGTGATGTAGAGATGTGGTGGGAATGGTAGGGAGATGATACCTATGAGTCTGAATTTGTTGTTTGAGGTGATAAAAATGTAAACTTGACTGGTGATGGGTTCACATATTTGTAAACATAATAAAAATGATTGCATTATACACTGTAAGCATATGAATTATATTGCATGTGAATTATATCTCATTGAAGCTATTTTTAAAAGTGAGAAAACCACTGTTGATCATCTCCAGGCTTCATAGGTAAATGTCTTGGTATGACCTCAAAAGGAGTCCTTGTTTTGCAATTCTGTGCCCCTATTTACTCTATAGTTGGGCCACATGAAGTTATTTGCTATCTGGGTTTGCAGTCTTTCTAGTTCAAGAAGCTGGTCTCCAGTGATCTGAAAAGCTACCACCAAAGTTAACTTGTCTCCTTCAAATAAATCCCACTGGCATGGTAAGATTTTCATGTTTTATTTTACTTTTTTTCTTTACTCTGTTATTTTTCCATTTTTTTCTTTTTCTTTGTTCTTTCTTTCTTCTGCTTTTCCATTTTAATTTAACTAGTTTTTTAATTTGAATTTTGTCTGGAATTGTGTTTTGACTTCAGCAGAAAGATCAGTTTGGTAGCCTAGGAATAATTTTCATTTTGGATAATTTGGACCCAATTTCTCATCAACTTTCCCTAATTTTAAGCCTATCCTGGGTCACCTTGACCACAAGCCTAGTAGCTAGCCTAGCATATTGCAGGGCTTCTTGGCCATCTCTGCTGAGGAAGATACTATATTGACAACTATCACTCCTTATGATCATCACCAAGGGGAACTTGTCCAAGGTGAAGTTGGCCCAGCACATCCTGACTGGAAAAGAGGGATCCATGACTTTCAGCCTCTACGAAGTATCCCATGAAGTGGGAACCATGAAGGCTTTGAATCATCCCAATGTAATTAAATTATTTGAGCTGCCCAAGACTGAATAAACACTCTGTGTTGCCATGGAGTACACCAGTGGAAGAGAGATGTTTGATTACCTAGTGGTTTGTGACAGTATAAAAGGAGGAGAATATGGAGTCCAATTCTGCTAGTTACGATCTGCTGTGCAGTACTGTGACTAAAAGTGGATTGTTCATAAAGACCTAAAGGCAGAAACTCTGCTCTTAGAGGCTGACATGAACATCAAGTTTGACAGATTTGGGCTTCGGCAATGATTTCATCTTCGGTAACAAGCTAAATACCATCTGTGGCAGCCCTCTGGGAGTTTGGCCCAGAACTCTTCCAGGGCAAAACTTATGATGGACTTGAATAAGAGTTGTGAAGATTGGGAGTCATCCTATATGTACTATTAATCTGAGTCCTGCCTTTTGATGCACAGAAGTTCAAGGAATCATGGGAGCAGGTACTGGGTAGAATATACCATATTCTCTTCTATTTGTCCACAGAGTGTGAAAAAAAAAGCTAATCAAGAAATTTTTCATTCTCGGTCTCACTGAAAAGGGCATTTTGTAGTACACTATGAAAGAGCTATGGATGAATGTGGGCCAAAAGGATGAAGGGCTTATGTAATCCATTCCCTAACCACAAGGACTTTCAGAGGACTGAGTTGACAGTGTCATTGGAGTATAACTGGAAGAAATTAAGGACTTACTGATGGGCCAGAAGTACAATAAGGTGACAGCCACCTGTCTGCTCCTGGGATGCAAGAGACCAAAGCTGGAGGGCTTCCCCATCACCCTGAGTCCCCAACATTCTACTCATCTGACCAATAGCGGCACTCCTTCCCCGTCTGATAAGGGACAGCATAGTGTCCCTGCCAGCCCCAATAATTGTATTTTCAACAAACATGCTAGTCCTGCCATTTCCACTCCAATTCCCAGAATACTAAGAGTAGCAGTGCAGAAAATCAGCAGCTGCAGGAGATCTAGGAATCAGAACAGAAAGTCAGCAGCGTGGCCCCCATGCTTGCCCCTCCTTACCTGTGTTGCCGAGAAAGAGTATAACTCCTGTCTTCTCCATGAATAGTGGCCTTTCCACCAGCATAAAACAGAGCTTTTAGAAGCATAAATCCCTGCTTTTAGAGAGGGCCACCTTTAACCAGTGCTCCATCCAGACAGCAAAAAGCCTAACTGTGCTAGGATCTGGGGCTTCCAGGGCTTCTACTGCAGACTGCCTGGCCTAACCCCACCTGTACTAGAACCCCTTTGTGAAGCCCAGCCAGGCCTCTGGGCTTGGTCCTACAAACAGTAACTGTGAGATGTTTCCATGCAGCCCCTTCAGCGTGTCCTTGTTGCCACCTTCCCAGCCTACAACATCAGCAGCAGTGGTAAAACCCAGACTAAACACATTTCCATCTGCTTGGCATCCAAATGAAAATTTTTTCACACCAAGCAGCTTCGACAGGTGTGCAACCAGCAGAATTTGCCCTATGCGGAGACCCCAGCCTTTCTTTCTGGCAATAGCCAGGGCTGGCAGGGGGCCACTGGGAGCTTCTTCAGCAAGTCAATGTTCAAGTTTATATGGAGACATCTGTATTTCAGGTTGCCAGAGGAACCTAAATGAACCTGAAAGCAGAAACCTAGTAAAGATTTTCAAGCCACATCATGAACAGCAGAGACAGTGATAAAAAAGAAACAATGAGACTGAGTGGATTTTTTACTCACTACACTTTACATGGAATATGAAGTTCACAACCTCCATGGAGCCTACTGCAAAATATCAAGGTACTGGACATGAATGGCTGCCAGTGTGAGCTAAATAAAAAGCACATGCTCCTATGCATGCACTGCACACCCACCAACACCACGCTGTGGAAAATGGAAATTTGCAAGGTGCCAAGAAGGTCTATATTAGTCAACCTTCTCCAGAGAGACAGAACCAACAGAATAAATAGGACAGATAGAATAGATAGATAAATGATAGATAGATAGATAGATGTGTGTGTGTGTGTGTGTGTGTGTGTGAGAGAGAGAGAGAGAGAGAGATGAGATTAGCTCACATGATTATAGTGACTGAGAAGTCCCACACAGGCTATCTGCAAGCTGGAGACCCTGAGGTGCCAGTAGCATAGCTCAGTCTAAGTCCAAAAGTGACAGAACCAGGGAAGTTGATGGTGTAACTCTCAGTCCAAGGCCAAAGGAGTAAGAACCAGGTGCAGGGTTGGAGTGGGGGTGGGGCAGAGGTGGTTGGTGCAAGTCCCAGGGTCCAAAGGCTGGAAAGCTTGGAGTTCTGATGTCAAGGACAGGAGAAGAAGGGTGTCCTAGCTTCAAGAGAGAAAGAGTGAATTATCCTTTCCTCTGCCTGTTTGCTCTATCCAAGGCCCCCAGCCAATTGGATGGTGCTCAGTCACATTGAGGATAGATTTTCTCCCCTCAGTCTACCTACTCACATGCCAATCTCCTCCAAAAACATCCTCACAGACACACCCAGATATAATGTTTTACCAGCTCTCTAGGTTTCCCTTAATCCAGGCAAGTTGGTATCTAAAATTAACCATCACGGGCTCTCTCAATGGGATTCCATTTAAGCAGATATCTAGCATTTCCATAGTCTTCAAAAGCCTTGCCTCCGAAGTAACTGCAACTTAAAACTTTAAAAGGCCGCCAGCATTTCCCGAGGAGACAGGAGGAGAGACTTGCTGGCACTAGCTGCCTGGTTGACCATTTTGCCCTCATCTGAGTGCAACTACAGAGACTGGACTGATGTGGTTCCCCTGGGGTGCTTCTCCCCTTCCCTGATCTTCTGTTTATTTTTTCTCTTTTTGTAAGAAGGAAGATGGTTCTACAGAAATAAAGGCAGATGATAAAGGCAAGAACATGCACCCATATATATCCTTGCATTCTGCTTTTAGCTAATAATGTTTACTGGCATTTTTTCAAACTGACTAAAGTAAGTCACTCTTTATAATAGACTGCATATAGCATAGTAACTGTGTTTTTGCCATGCCCTCTGGTCCAAAAGGGAAGCATATAGATTTGAAAATCTCTGGGTCAGATGGTTTAAACTGTAATCATTTAAAGTCAGGGATGACATGAGAAGACAGGAAAGCACTGAGCTACTTCTTCAAAGAAAATAAATTTCTTTTCTCTGGAATAAGACAATAAAGCTCAACCAAATGACCTCATGCACATAAATGTTTTCCAGGCAAACACTATTAAATGGCAAGATGAACATATGTAACCTGTTGCAATAAAGCTGTTCAGTGGTAAAAGCCCCTGGATTCTGTAGCTCTAGGATGGATTAAATATTTTGTCCTCTAAGCAACAATAGTCAGATAAGGAGGGTGAAGGAATTGGCTTTATTTGCTATTCAATTTACTTTCCCTGCCATTTCAATAAGTCACCACTTGGTGTTGGTTTTCAATTCAGCTGCTTTTGTAGCACCAGAATCCTGAGGGATGAAAATAAAAGGGTGGTTTTATTTATAAGAAGTAAATATTCTGGTGGTTGTGAACCAGGATTTAAAAATCATTCTAACTTGCTGAAAGTAAACAGCCCCAGCACAGAGTCAAGAAAAATGGCAGAAATACCTGTGTGAGTCCAGTCCCTGCGTATAAATGTTTGGCTGGTCATTGGATTGCCTCCTCTTTACTGTTTGCTTCTTTCCTCGTATTCTCTAGGACACCCTTAACCATTGCCTTTCCAAATTTGCCCCTACAAACCAAATTAATCTTCCTTTCTATTACTTCACTCATTTAATAAATATTTACTGAGTGGGTGCCATGTATCTAGTAGTATGCTCCCATGAAAATACAATAATTTAAATCACTTACAGAAGGCAAATGCATAGACAAAGACACTGTGCTAAGTGCTATTTTAGGGTATCTCCTGAGAGCTGTTGGAACCAAGATAGTGATGTAATTAATTGTGGGTGGAATTATCAATGGGCGAGCAGAAATTGAGCTGTAAAAACATATGGAAGTACATTCTAGGCAGAGAGAGCTGGGGCAAAATTACAGAGTCTTGGAAGGTTCTCTAAATTACATAATGGCAAAAATCAGTTGTAGGGAATGTGGCAGGAATGATGGGAGACGATAAAGAAAGATAAATTGCGATCAGATTCTGAAGAACCCTGAAGAGCTGAAGAGTGTGGTCATTATTCAGGAGGTGAATTTTCAATGATTGCCATCAGATGAGGCATGTGTTTTAGGATGATCACGGCAGTTACAGGTGGGGAAGAATTTATATTGAAAATTCCAGTTTCTAGATTTTCCCACAATATGTGGAAAAAAAATTTTAGATCGAAGTTTTTGTATATACATCTCAACTGGTAAGGCTATTGCTTTTAAAAGAAAGACACCTTTTTAGTGAAATTACTGGTGAGCAGAAGTCTCCTCACTATCCAATAGGCTATAGGAAAATGAGTTTATTTCCATCTTGAAATTAAAGCAGAAGGTAATGTGGTGAGTAGGAAAGCTCTGAATGTGTGACTCTCTTTTGATCCTCAATGATGAAACTCACCAGTAGAGAAGGAGGCTGAACTAAAACCAATACTCAATGGGAAATAGCTATCTACAGGAAACATAACAAGAATGTTGTCCCAATTCTAATCCCTTCTCTGGTGAACATTCATGTGTACAGCTTCTGTGGAAAGATCTATATTTGATACAATAAGGACCTATCTCCAAACTCTGGCCTAGATAATCAGAACAATGATACACACATGACCTAAGACAAGCAAGCCATTAAATTGGCCTAGTACACCTATTACCACCCAAACTATGATATACGGACAAGCATTTTAGGCGTGGCCAGGTAGCTTGTTAGAAATGCAAAATCTCAGACTCTATCCAAAACTCCTGTATCAGTCTGCATTTTACTGAGATTCCTAGATGATTCGTATTCACATTACATTTTGAGAAGCATGACTAGACCAGCAGGTCTGACTTTCTTGAGGATTTCAGCAAGAAACGTGGAAGACACATGAGTTATTGGCATAGAAAGAAACAGACATACAGGTGATGACTGTGTTCATATTCATGGCCAATTACTGGAATGGAAACCCCATGGCTCTTTTTGCCACTGAGGTACTTGGAGCAATCAGATGTCTAGATTCCCCTTCTAGTTCCAAGTGTTCAGATTGCTCCTGTAATGTTTCTGTTCTTAGATTTCTGTAAACCATCTTTCATGTGGACACTTATACCTTCTCCTTCTTGGAACCAGCTTGAGATTCTTTGCTTGCTATAGAAAAAGTTGCCAAATAAAGCACTTCTTGTAGTAACAATCACTGAGGAGTTAATGTGAGCAAATCTCCAATTCAACCCAGCAGCTCTAGGAAGAGCAACAATTTCTTTGGTGCATAAAACTGGCAGCAATTCATTTCCCCAGCCAGAGTGGGTTACTGAAGGAAAAGCAGAACACTCCCATTCAGGACACAGAGTAATGCCCTCAGGCTAGAAGGACGACACTCCTTGTAGAGAAAATGATTATTTAATCATGACCTGAAGAAGGAAAGAAGCCACATCAAAAGAAGATTGTCCTCCCTTTTCACAGGCAGAGTTTGCAATATTTGTTCAGGGTTACTTGGCGAGAAGATGAGAGGGTCTGATATAGATATTCTAATTTTAAATTCAGTATTTTTGCCTTATTCACAAGAACAGTGCCAGGAGAATCAGCGTCTATATTCACATTTTCTCTTTTGTTTTCATAAACATCTTCAAAGAAAGTAATATCCATCATGAACATTCTGTCTCCATTCCAAGATAATTGACCTTGAGAAAGTTATTGAAACTTCTGCTTCTCTATTTCTTTATTTATAAAAGGGAGACATAAAAGACTTTTCATTACTCCTATAAGATGTTAGGTAATAATAATCCGATCAAATTATATATATATATATATAGAGAGAGAGAGAGAGAGAGAGTAACTTTCCATGACAGTTGTATAAATGCCAGATATCCTTACAATTTTCTATAGTGTCTTAGTATTTTAGCAGTGGAATGTTTTGTTCAAAGAGAATATTGACTGTAAAATGTAAGGGCTGGTGATCTGGTTGAAATAGCTGGATGGTGATGAGGATGCCTGGTGATCTGAGAATCTGAATCTTTAACACTGCAACTAAATACAGGGTTTCATAAAGAATAGTGTGAAAATCAGATTTCTGTATAACTTAAGATATCGTATATTCAATCAAACAATTATTTATAGAATGCCTGAACTCTCTATGGAGAATATGCAAAAAATACAATTTGTTTAGCTGGGAGGTAGATTTAAGAAAAAAAAAACAAGACATATATAGTACTACATGGTATGTATTGCTAATTAATTTTTGAATAAATGTTTCTGAAGCACAAATCTCATTGATTATCTCAGCCTAAGGAAAATGGGGGTAAAATTTCACCTGTCTTGTGAAGGTTGGAAAGAAGAAAAGTGAGGTTATATTTAACCTAGGCCTTTAAGAATTTGTGCAAAATTTTGTGTGAAATAAGTAAGGAAAGAGTGCTCCAAGGAAAGAAAGGCATAGGTAGGTAAAGCCACAGTGATATAGGTGAGTGGCTTCAAAAACATCACGTATTCTTATAAGATTGGAGCATAGTTTATGAAGGTGGGCAAGAGAGTGGTGGAAAAAAGATAAGTTGGGAACAAATTGTAAACAGCTTTGACTTTCATGAATCCCTTTGTTTTTGGCAGTAAATGTTTATGGGAGGCACCAGCAGAAGGCTGGTAGGGTGGAAGAGAGAGAGACATCAGGTTATTCCTCCTTGCCTTCCAGCTTTCTCCTTTCTGGTTCAGCCTCAGTGAGCTGCATTACTGTACAGTTCCTGTAGTGTGGATTTTTCATACTTTGGTAATCATTTCTCCTTTTTTCTTCTCCCCTCTTTATTTATTTATTTATTCTTTATTTACTTCTGTCCAGACTCAGGCATTCCCAATTTATTCAATGGAGTTACATTCTGTTACCATCATCATTTATTTTTCAGATTGTCACAATCTTGGCCTCTGAGGGCCCTGCAAGTTGGCTCTAATGTCCTTCTGCCATGTCTTACCATTCTTTGAGCACTCCCTTATTTTGAGACTCAACAAAATTTTCCAGGCTTATCTTGTACTTACAGTGCCCAGGCCTGGAATGAGCCATTTCTCCATTGAGTTCTGGTTCCTTTTAGTGACATAGTTTTGCTCATTGCTATTGTGGTGCTGCTTCTAGACTCAGTCAGCAAACAGACTAAGGGAAGGCCAATCAATTCCTAGTGATAACTCCACATCTAATCTAACACCCTAGGATTCATTCTAGTCTTCCCCTTGCCATAGGTTTAACTCCCTTCTCCAACCATCAGAAACCTGGTTGCTATTATTCTTAATATATATTTATTTATTTTCCCAATTCTAGAATACATGTAAATTAGTTTCATAATTACCAATTCATATAACTGGAAAAAAAAGCCACTTCAGGTTTAGGGACATTAGCAGGTCTCTGCTGTCACTAGTCCTGGGATATGGCACCATTCCTTATTTTTTTCCCTAAAACTCCATGACCCCCTTGCTAATAGTCTTTTCATTAGACACTTTTTATGTATCCAATTTGACTCTGCCATCTGCTCTCTGCTGGGATAATAACTGATAAAATAGGCTAGAGAGTAACTACTTACAAGGAGGTTACAATATGTAGCTAGAGCCACAAAATGCAGGCACTGAGCATTTTGTGTTAGCACCAAAGGACTTATCCAGGTCCTGAATTAATCATAAGCAAAACTATAGTGAACCATACAAAAAGAAGTTCATGAGATGTATGTAGACAGAAATCTAGAAAAAATGAATTCACCATTGCTATATTTTAGAGAAATACATACATAATGTTTTAGACCACCAAATTATTCCCACTCTGATTAACGGCACTGTTATTTTGGCTTCTTTACTGGTATATAATCTGGGGATAGCTACCTCTCCATTGGAAGACACATGAGTTAATTTCTACAAAAAGCTATGTCACAATGTGGCAGAGAGACATTTTTGGCTGTAAAACCTGAAATTTCTTTAGTAACAATGTGAATATGCACATTACCATTCTGAGTGCTCCTAGAAATTTCTGGAAAGAAAAGAAATCAGAGCTGAGATCCTAACATTGAATAAATGTTATGTAGTGGAGTAATCAAAGTTTAAACTATGAGATATGATTTTTCACATACTATATGTTACAAGAAATAAAAATAATATGTTGATGATGATAATGGGAAACATGGAGTTCCTAAGTGCCACAACTAAGAATTTAGAGTGCTACAAACTTTTTAAAGGGAAATGTCATTGTTTTACACTCCATTTGTTATAAATTGTTTATATTATTTGATTCTAAAGAAACAAACTCTTCCCTGGTTTATTCTATAAAAAATCATGAGAAATGGCCAGAGACTGGTGTTAAATTATTTTCACAACACAATTACATTTAATAATTAAATATAACAATTATCACATTTAATAATTACATCTTAAAATCTTACAAAAAATATATCATTGCTATATTTCTTAAATCTACTGTGATAAAGCTTTTATAAAGTTTTAATTGGGTTCAATGAATAATTGTGGGCAATTACAACATGTAAAAAGATAAAAGCAAAACAACATGGGGATATCTATTAACTCATATTAAGCACATTAAGAATTAGGGACACAATCCATTAGAGTTTGTAAAGCAATGTTATAAAATATAAATTAAAGAAAAAAAGTTGGTCAATTTGGGAATATGTTAGCAAATCAACTTACTATTTTTAAAAACTGGTAAATAGAATACAGAATTTGTCTACATCTTTTTCATTAAAAAAATATACCATTGGATAACCAAATATAAGTTTAGGGAAAGTTTTATTTATAGAAGCAGTCCAGGTAATACATTAAGAAAAGTAATATAATTGGATTATCATCATTTGGTCACACTTAATGAATTAATGAACCTAAGCGTTGTCCTTCAATGGCTGCTGGTGCCACCAAAAGAACAATGCCTTGGCATTATGCCTGGAGCCATGGAGGAACACAACACTACCCATGAATATAAAGTATTTTTACCCCCTCAGAAAACATCAAACCTGAGTTAAATCAAGCCTCTAGACCCAAATGTTAATTTAAAGGACATACAGGTGCAGAGGAGCATGTCCAATAACACTTTGATGATACAATCATTTTACAATCTCCATGGTAATTTTTTTCCAAAAAAAAATTGCAAGAGAGTGAAAAATAATGGAGATGGGCACATATAGATTAAAAGAGATTTAAGAACGCTTTCAACCAATTGAAAAAAAAATGCCATTTTTGCTTTTTAGATACTGATTCAAGCTACTAAAAATTATAACATGAGTCAGTTGGAGAACTGACTGAATTTTTAATGACATAAAGAGATTATTGTTTTAACTTTAGTTGCACAGTAGTTTGGAGACTACGTTAAAGAAATTTTTTTTTATCTTTTATTGAAATAAATACAGATAAAATGATATCTGGAATTTGCTTCAAAATAATTTTGGTGAGAAAGAAGTTGGTAAGGGTTTGTAAGAAACACAACTGGCCATTAGTTGATAATTGTGGAATCTAGGTAATAGGTACATTGAGGTTAATTATACTAATTTATCTAAATATGTATATGATTAAAATTTTCCATATTAAAACATAAAAACAAGTAAATAACAAATGTACAAGGTAAATAAAATGTGTAACTCTATTAGAGAGATTCAGTAAAGAAGGAAAAATCCTTCATGTTTTTCTCAGAGTGAGCAAACTTGCTAATTTTAAAAATTCCTCCTTTCTTCTGGGCCTGGAATTTTCAGCACCCAAAACTTCAATTGCATTTGCTTTTCCTCATTTTTCTATCAGAAGTCTAGACAAACCAAGAAACTCAGAAAACTTATTACAGGATTTATGACGACAACACTCAAATATCAAGATTTCTGCCTTTTTGCATCATAATTTCTAACTGGTTAGAAATATATACATATATATATACATATATATGAAAGGCATCAACATTATAATATAAGCAAAATTGAATTTTCTCAGTGGTTTTCTTTTTTCTTTTCGTTTCGTTTTTCTTTTTTTTTTTTCTTTTTTTGAGACAGGGTCTCACTCTCTTACTCAAGCTGGAGTGCAGTGGCACAATAATTGCTCACTGCAGCCTCAGCCTCCCAGGCTCAAGCAATCCTCCCACCTCATCCTCCCAAGTAAATGGGACTACGGTTGTACCTCACCACACCTGGCCAATTTTCATTTTTTTTTTTCATAGAGACAGGGTCTCACTATGTTGCCAGGCATGATTTTCTTCTACAAGAATTTTTTTTTCAATCGATTGTCCTGAATTTCTAAGGTAGATATTACTGACAACTACAGTAATAAAATATTTTTCTTATTTTTTTTTGGTATTTATACTTTCCATTTTATACATTTCTCTGCTTGAGATGTTGATTGATTTCTGATTCATGTGAAATGTTAGTGAAGACAATAACCATTTTTGTTTGTTATTCTCTTAACTACTGATTTTTTGAGACTGTGCCATTTATATTTTAAAATATTTAATATTTGAAAAATAATATATTAATTTTAATAATACTTTTAAAAACATATACTTTTTTCTGTTTCTGCAAGAGGTTTTGTTTTACTAAGAAAAGAATGGTGATTTTCATGAAATGACTTTCCAAAAAATGTTATAAATTATTTCAAACATGCCAAGAAATGCATATAAACTATAAAAATTATCATCATCATCATGAAAACACTCACCTAAATACCAAACACTCAATTAAGAAATAGAATATCATATTTGAAGCTCATTCAAATGACTTTTCAACACCTATATGCTGCATTTTCTGTTTTGTTTTGTTTTTGGTTATAGATTTTGTTTATGCTCATTAAAAGTTATATTTAAAACACTAAAAAATATCAAGAATAAAATAAGCAATGTGAAATTTCACCACCTAGCAATGATTATCCTTAACCTTTTGTACACATTCAATGTTTATTATCTGTGGCATTTTTATGTGTTTACAAAATACAATATTTTAACTTGGGTTTTAAAAAATGCTTATGAATATTTTGCTATTAGAAATATTATTAAAAGTTGTATTTCTGTGAAAATCACTCGTTATTTTCTTATCAAAGACTTTTTATACTGAAGATAGTGGATTAATGGGTGCAAGCATTTTTTAGTTACTAAGTATTCCTAAATAGCTTTTTAGAAAGGTGGAACGCACTTACATTTCAACAAGGATATATTCTGGCATGAACTGTATGCTAATTTCTTACATACAATAACATACAATGATATTTAAGTTTCATAATTTATGCATGCAGTGATATTTTAAATACTCATTTGAAACATTCACACTGTTTTCTTAGGCTACCGACAGATTACTACATATATTTCTTAAGTTTGTTTTTATTCTACTTTCATCAACATTTTTAAAATTCACAGTTAATAAATGATGTCATTTTCTTGTTAATGATTATGTAGTACAAATAAAACTGAAAAATCAGTTAAAGTCTTTATGCTTTCAATGTATATGTGAAATGATGGATTTTTGATAGTTTGGCTGTTATTTTAGGTCAGACTTGACAGTCAATTAAAGTTTCACAGAAGATATCAAACCAGGTGTACTGTAATTCCTCAATATCTGTACTGTACCTCATACTTGTCTGTGTTAAAATTCTATCCCACCATTTTTTCTTAAGTTAGACATATTGAGAACCACAGAACATAGTTAAAATGACAGATATTTATTAAACGTCTGGTTGCTCTAGCTAACAGGGCTTAGAATGTATTGGATTTCTAGTTTCAACTGCCAGTTACCAAGCAAGTGATTCTATGATAAAGAGTGGCTTTGATGGGGAAGAAGAGAGGAGGGCAATAAGATTTGAGGAAATGCACAAATTTAATGGAGAGTATTTTTAGAGCTGAAAGGAAAATGCTTTCAGAGCTTATTTGCCCTCTTAAGTTGGATACCATTACCACCTTCCTCATCAAACGTGGCAGGAGGAGGTCAAGAAATGCCAGCCCTCCCACAGATGCAGAGCAGGCTTTCAACAAGTTGAAAATGTGAGTGATTTGGCAGAAGAGTTTAGATGAGGATATGGGGAAAATTCTTTGAGAGGCTCTTCTGACCTCATATTTTTAATATTTTATTGTACTGAATTAATGACTTTTAAAATCTTTCAACTAGGCCCTCTATGGTTCAAAAATGAAAAATACATTGAAAGTCTGACAGTAAAACAAGTTTGGGCAGACTTCATTAAACTTTTTAGGCCAGCCCATATCTGGTTGAATAGCATCTCTCCCGCCATCAGCATGTCATAACATGGCCCATTTGACCTCTCAGCAAATATGCTGCTCACCTGGTTCAATCAGCCCTCTTTATGCATACCTGAGCGCAAGTTTCCCAAGCTCAAGTGGGCATTGACTCATTTTTCTGAGGCTTATTTCATGAAAGCATAGCCCAGTCTCTAGTTCTCTACTAGTATCCAGTTTTTTCCTGACATATAATCCAACTCTAAATTTAACTTTTATAATTATTCTCAACAGATTTTAGGATCAATTTAACAAGCATGAGTGTTTTTTTTTAAATCTTCTTGAAAATATGCTTAAATTATTACCAAGAAGAATCGTTGAGCATGGTATACTTGCAGATCCTGCATTGCCCTGGTGGTTGTTATCTCCCTAGGAGCACAGGTAGCCATATCCCTCCTTGACCTTCCCAGGTGTGTGTACACCTCCCTGCCATTTGTGGACCACCAATGGTGTCTCCTATGCAAGGCACACAAGACTTCTCTTTCCCTGTCAGGTTTAGCCTGACTTTTCCTTCAATGCTTCTGTCTCTCCCCACCTCCTGCCCTTACATAATTTTATGCAGGAACTCGGGTTTAATAGAACTTTCAATCACCTTTTGATTTATACTGGATCACAAACTTTCTCTGAATATATCTTGGATTTGAAGATAAAAAAGATGTGAAACAACCTAAGAAGTACTAGGGTAGGATGACTCCGTGTAGGTGAGTCCTAAAAATGAACAGTCAATCCTCTTTCCTTTCTTGACATATAATTTAGTTCTATTCATGTGCACCTTTACTTTGGACACTTAGATATTTTTACATAAGGATTTTCAAAAGGCCTCAACAGTCAGACTCATCAATAACTGGGACTTTTCTTACACGACTTGACTTTAGAAGCGAATATATTCAACATGTATGAAATACTTTTATTTTTGAAGACATTTTAATAACACACTGGCATTTTATATTCAACACGAAGCTGTTGAACAGCACTAGGATTGGATGCAATTGCACGTTTCTGGGTCCGTTTTATAGAAGCTCGTACCTTGGAACTTCTAGCCAAAGTGCTGACATTTTAGCCAAATTTTTCAACAGAGTTGCAATTTTAAAAGGACTCACCTAAACTCTAAACCTAGCAAGAAAATCTTTGAAAATTTTATTTTGTCATTAATTATCTAATAAGTATCCAAAGTATATTCCTTTTGAAGGCAATTACAATGCAGTAAGAACAATACAACAAACAAAATTACATTTGAAGCCAGTGAGATGTAATGGAAAGTGCCAGAAGCTCATGTGTTCATCTACATTTTATGTATTTGATCAGACGGAATACATGTAGGCATTATTTAAGCACTACATTTCTGTGTAAATACTAATTAATATTATTCATAAATCCGAAGATATTTGGAAAGCACTTCCAGCCTACAAATAATACAACATAAGTGTGGGATGTAGGTTTTCCTCCCAATACTATGGGAAATTTTGCATTTGAACTGTATCTACATGTATTAAATCTTTGATCAAGTATATCAAATGGGTTTCCTTTACCCACATTTTAAAAATGAATAAATTGCAGAGATGTCCAACGTAAACAAGCACACATAACCAATAGTATAGGAATGTTACTTTAAAATAATATATTGATTACCCTATTAAAAGGAGCCCGAATGACAAGGAATATATTTTCCTCTCCCTGATCTCTACTCAACCAACCAGTAAAGTAATAGCAACAAGCACTCATTGAGTGCTTATTATAAGTTCTATGAAAATATGTTATGTATTATATTATTTTTTAAAGTCCACACATTCCACAAGCATCAAATTGTTTTTGCCTGAAGTAGTGTTGTTGGGGCAATATGAAAATATAGACCCAGGATTCTTTCATCCTCCCCCCACCACCCCGTGCAAAGTAGTAGATATTGGAGAAAGTAGATAAAGAATATCCTAAAAAAAAAAAAAAAAAAAAAAAAAAGATTTTCTCAAGCAATACCTCATTTAGAGAAGTAACGCACAAAGACAAGCATGACTCAAATACAGCAGACAGGGAAAACTGCATTAAATGACTCAATTCCATTGTGTAAAAATAAAAATAGGGCCAAGCACGGTGGCTCACGCCTGTAATCCCAGCACTTTGGGAGACCGAGGCAGGCGGATCACTTGAGGTCAGTATTCGAGACCAGCCTGGCCAACAGGGTGAAAATCCGTCTCTACTGAAAATACAAAAATTACCAGGTCGTGCTGTTGCGCCCTCCTGTAGTCCCAGCTACTCCGGAGGCTGACGCAGGAAAATCTCTTGAATCTGAGAGGCGGAGGTTGCAGTGAGCCGGGATCGGGCCACTGCACTCCAGCCTGGACAACAGAGTGAAACTCCATCTAAAAAATAAAATAGAATAAAATAAAATAAAATGCATATCGTTAACAAGATATTTCTATTAGAACTCCATGAAGTAATTCATTAAGTCAACAATTATTTATTAAGGCTTCTGAACATCACACCCATTTTAGGTGTTTTTGTGGATCCTTTGGATAGAGTTGAAATAAGAAAGTATTACTTATAGGGAAGATGCATTTTAGTAGTGAGATTAGTATTGAATGAAAGTAATCTATAGAACACTATCTAAATTTAAAATGTGTAATATAACAAATATTTTTCAAGAAATGTGGAAAACTTGAACAGTGAAATAGCCATAAAAATTAACTTTAATAAACACCATGTACTTCATTTCACATGGTTAACAAAATCGTGTCATCAGTATGCCTGGTGGTAAAATATCCTATGATATCTGAATATCTTTGTGGCTTTTTGTGATAAAGTAAAATAAAAATGTATTTTATTCTTATAGGACGAAATAGATTCACACAAACACTTAAGGTATTGTTTAACAAACCCTTAATATAGCAATTTAACAATTTTATGTAACATTACTCTTTAAAAAATATAATTTAGCAATTTACAAGGACATTTAAAACACATTAAAATCAGCCTGGAATTAATTTATAAATCTGAAATCACAATAAATTACAAATAATAACAGTCATCCATGTATTCATTGCAAAAATGTATATAAGTTGACTTACTAATCTTTGCATTGTATAAATTTTAAATTAAACAATATTGCAGATAAATCTGAAGCTTCTTTTTTATTCTTTCTAGCTCCATTCTCTTCCTTCTTTTCCTCAAGAGCAAATATTGTTGTGTACTTGTTTTGTATAATTTTGGTCCATGTTTTAAAATGTTATTATATATTTGCATTCATAATTAATATACCTATCTCTGTTTTAATTTATGTAATTTTAACTTCCTTTTTTTATATAATATAATTTTGAGATAAAGTTGATATAATAGTTCTATTTCAATTACTTAAATTACCTTTTTGTTTTGTGAATACAACATGTTGATTTATCTATTCTTCTTTTTACTTATTTATTTATCGACGGAGTTTCGCTCTGTCACCCAAGCTGGAGTGCAGTGGCACGATCTCAGCTCACTGCAACCTCTGCCTCCCAGGTTCAAACAATTCTCCTGCCTCAGCCTCTCTGAGTAGCTGGGATTGCAGGCACGCGCCACCACACCAGGCTAATTTTTGTATTTTTAGTAGAGACAGGGTTTCACCATGTTGGCCAGGCTGGTCTCAAACTCCTGACCTCAAGTGATGCACCCGCCTCGGCCTCCCAAAGTGCTGGGATTACAGGCGTGAGCCACTGTGCCCGCCAAGACATTTTTAATTGAACAGCTTTCACCTCTAGTTCTCCTGCTTACTGCCACCATGTTTTATCATAGTTAGCTGGTGCAAGCCAGAACTAGGACCATAAATCTATCCATTTAAATAATCAGTATCACAATTTATATTTCTAGGCTGAAAGTTGCCCTACTCTCTGGCCTACTTTTTAGGTTTATGTAATTTTATCACTTTTGGGTTATCTGAAATTCTATCTTCTGCGCATTAGTATCATGTAATGAGAATATCTACCTCAAATGAATCCTCCTAAGACATTGCTTTTATTGTGCCACTTCCGAATTTTAAAAACCCATGATAATTTTGTATTAGGTTATGTTTATTCAACCTAGTATTTGAAGCCTTTTATAATTTGGAACCATCTCTCTACCCATTTGTCCCACTTTTCCTAAGAAATAAAGTTGCTTTTTTTCCAAAAGGCAGATTTGTTTCCTTCAGATCTTTTCAGTATATCATTCATGTTTCTTTCTCAAGCCAACCATTTCCTCTGATTTAAATATATCTGTCCTACTTTTCCATTTATCCACACCCTGACTCTTCATTATAACACAGCCAAAATCCCACTACTTAAAATTTCTAGGTCCGTTTTTTTTTTAACCTAGAACACATTATTTGTTTATTTTAAAAGTCTATTGATCTTTATCATTATTCTTTTTTTATTATACTTTAAGTTCTAGGGTACATGGGCACAACGTGCAGGTTTGTTACATATGTATACATGCGCCATGTTGGTGTTCTGCACCCATTAACTCGTCATTTACATTAGGTATATCTCCTAATGCTATCCCTCCCCACTCCTCCCACCCCACAACAGGCCCCGGTGTGTGATGTTCCCCTTCCTGTGTCCAGGTGTTCTCATTGTTCAATTCCCACCTATGAGTGAGAACATGCAGTGTTTGGTTTTTTGTCCACGTGATACTTTGCTCAGAATGATGGTTTCCGGCTTCATCCATGTCCCTACAAAGGACATGAACTCATCCTTTTTTATGGCTGCATAGTATTCCATGGTGTATATGTGCCACATTTTCTTCATCCAGTCTATCATTGATGGACATTTGGGTTGGTTCCAAATCTTTGCTATCGTGAATAGTGCCGCAATAAACATACGTGTGCATGTGTCTTCATAGCAGCATGATTTATAATCCTTTGGGTATATACCCAGTAATGGGATGGCTGGGTCAAATGGTATTTCTAGTTCTAGATCCTTGAGGAATCACCACACTGTCTTCCACAATGGTTGAACTAGTTTACAGTCCCACCAACAGTGTAAAAGTGTTCCTATTTCTCCACATCCTCTCCAGCACCTGTTGTTTCCTGACTTTTTAATGATTGCCATTCTAACTGGTGTGAGATGGTAACTCACTGTGGTTTTGATTTGCCTTTCTCTGATGGCCAGTGATGATGAGCATTTTTTCATGTGTCTGTTGGCTGCATAAATGTCTTCTTTTGAGAAGTGTCTGTTCATATTCTTTGCCCAATTTTTGATGGGGATGTTTGTTTTTTTCTTGTAAATTTGATTGAGCTCTTTGTAGATTCTGGATATTAGCCCTCTGTCAGATGAGTAGATTGCAAAAATTTTCTCTGATTCTGTAGGTTGCCTGTTCACTCTGATGGTAGTTTCTTTTGCTGTGCAGAAGCTCTTTAGTTTAATTAGATCCCATTTGTCAATTTTGGCTTTTGTTGCCATTGCTTTTGGTGTTTTAGACATGAAGTCCTTGCCCATGCCTATGTCCTGAATGGTATTGCCTAGGTTTTCTTCTAGGGTTTTTATGGTTTTAGGTCTACCATGTAAGTCTTTAATCCATCTTGAATTAATTTTTGTATAAGGTGTAAGGAAGGGATCCAGTTTCAGCTTTCTACATATGGCTAGCCAGTTTTCCCAGCACCATTTATTAAATAGGGAATCCTTTCTCCATTTCTTGTTCTTGTCAGGTTTGTCAAAGATCTGATGGTTGTAGATGTGTGGTATTATTTCTGAGGGCTCTGTTCTGTTCCGTTGGTCTATATCTCTGTTTTGGTACCAGTACTATGCTGTTTTGGTTACTGTAGTCTTGTAGTATAGTTTGAAGTCAGGTAGCGTGATGCCTCCAGCTTTGTTCTTTTGGCTTAGGATTGACTTGGCAATGCGGGCTCTTTTTTGGTTCCATATGAACTTTAAAGTAGTTTTTTCCAATTCTGTGAAGAAAGTCATTGGTAGCTTGATGGGGATGGCATCGAATCTATAAATTACCTTGGGCAGTATGGCTATTTTCACGATATTGATTCTTCCTATCCATGAGCATGGAATGTTCTTCCTTTTGTTTGTATCCTCTTTTATTTTGTTGAGCAGTGGTTTGTAGTTATCCTTGAAGAGGTCCTTCACATCCCTTGTAAGTTGGATTCCTAGGTATTTTATTCTCTTTGAAGCAATTGTGAATGGGAGTTCACTCATGATTTGGCTCTCTGTTTGTCTGTTATTGGTGTATAAGAATGCTTGTGATTTTTGTACATTGATTTTGTATCCTGAGACTTTGCTGAAGTTGCTTATCAGCTTAAGGAGATTTTGGGCTGAGAGGATGGGGTTTTCTAAATATACAGTCATGTCATCTGCAAACAGGGACAATTTGACTTCCTCTTTTCCTAATTGAATACCCTTTATTTCTTTCTCCTGCCTGATTGCCCTGGCCAAAACTTCCACCATTATGTTGAATTGGAGTGGTGAGAGAGGGCATCCCTGTCTTGTGCCCATTTTCAAAGGGAATGCTTCCAGTTTTTGCCCATTCAGTATGATATTGGCTGTGGGTTTGTCATAAATAGCTCTTCCTATTTTGAGATACTTCCCATTAATACCTAGTTTATTGAGAGTTTTTAGCATGAAGGGCTGTTGAATTTTGTCAAGGGCCTTTTCTGCATCTATTGAGATAATCATGTGGTTTTTGTCTTAGGTTCTGTTTATATGCTGGATTACATTTATTGATTTGTGTATGTTGAACCAGCCTTGCATCCCAGGGATGAAGCCCACTTGATCATGGTGGATAAGCTTTTTGATGTGCTGCTGGATTTGGTTTGCCAGTATTTTATTGAGGATTTTTGCCACAATGTTCATCAGGGATATTGGCCTAAAATTCTCTTTTTTTTGTGGTGTCTCTGCCAGGCTTTGGTATCAGGATGATGCTGGCCTCACAGAATGAGTTAGGGAGGATTCCCTCTTTTTCTTTTGATTGGAATAGCTTCAGAAGGAATGGTACCAGCTCCTCCTTGTACCTGTGGTGGAATTCAGCTGTGAATCCGTCTGGTCCTGGACTTTTTTTGTTGGTAGGCTATTAATTATTTCCTCAATTTCAGAGCCTTTTATTGGTCTATTCAGGGATTCAATTTCTTCCTGGTTTAGTCTTGGGAGGGTGTATGTGTCCAGTAATTTATCCACTTCTTCTAGATTTTCTAGTTTATTTGCATAGAGGTTTTTACAGTATTCTCTGATGGTAGTCTGTATTTCTGTGGATCAGTGTTGATATCCCCTTTATCATTTTTTATTGCATCTTTGATTCTTCTCTCTTTTCTTCTTTATTAGTCTTGCTAGCGGTCTATCAATTTTGTTGATCTTTTCCAAAAACCAGCTCCTGGATTCATTGATTTTTTGAAGGGTTTTTTGTGTCTCTATCTCCTTCAGTTCTGCTCTGATCTTTGTTATTTCTTGCCTTCTGCTAGCTTTTGAATGTGTTTGCTCTTGCTTCTCTAGTTCTTTTAATTGTGATCTTAGGGTGTCAATTTTAGATATTTCCTGACCCCTTGCACTTCCTGGGTGAGGCGATGCCCCGCCCTGCTTCGGCTCACGCTTGGTGGGCTGCACCCACTGTCCTGCACCCACTGTCCGACAAGCCCCAGCAAGATGAACTGGGTACCTCAGTTGGAAATGCAGAAATCAACCATCTTCTGCGTTGCTCATGCTGGGAGCTGTAGACTGGAGCTGTTCCTATTTGGCCATCTTGGAACCGCCCCTCTGATTTATCTATTCTTCTACTGATGCTCTTTTGCCAATTGAAATGAGGTTTTCAATGTTTTGCAAGACATAATTTATCAGACTGGGAATTTTTCTTTTAATTCTATTTTGCTGAGAATATTTTAAAATAATATGTGGCTGTTAAAATTTACATATGTATCTTGGGCTTCTCTAATTGTGTTAATTTACCAGCAGTTTGGTCAAATACAACTGTCACTGATGGTCATTTTCAGTATCATATAGCAAAAGTAATAAATATATACATTATCTTTTGCGCAACCAATTTCTCCAAATAGAATTTTTTTAATTAACAACTATATTGAGATAATTTACATACTCTAAAGTTCATGAATTTAAAGTGGTTTTTAATGCTTTTTAATACATTTGCAGGGGAGTATAACCACCACCAAATCTAATTTTAAATTATTTTTATCATCCCCAAAGTAACATAGTAGTTATTAAGAAATAATTCCCACCCCCTATACATTATTTTCCACCCACTCAGTTCCCACCCAGGCTTAGGAAATCATTAATCTACTTTTAGTATCTATAGATTTGCCAATTCTAGACATTTCATATCAATGTGAATTTCATATCATGTGTAATATTTTATCTCTGCCTTCTTTCACTTAGCATATTATTTTATGATCTTCATATTCATCCATGTCTTATCAGTAGTTCATTCTCTGCTATTGCAAATGAATTTCATTATAGAGACATGCTATATGTTGTATATTCATGGATTGATTAATGGACATTTGTGCTATTTTCACCTTTTGAGTATTGTGATTAAGGATACAAGGAACATTCGTATATAAGGTTTTGTGTGGATGCATGTTTTGATTTCCCTCAAGTAGAGAACTAGGAGTGGAAATGTTGGGTCATATGCAATTCTATGTTTAACATTTTGAGGAATAGCCAAACTGTTTCCCAAATGGCTCTACCATCTTGAGTTCTCTCCAGCAGTTTATGAGGGTTCAAATTTCTTAATATTCTTGCCAACACTTGTTACTATCTTTTTAGTTATAGCCATCCAACTGTTTGTAAAGTGATAGGTCATTTTGGTTTTGATTTATACTTCCGTGATGATTGATGGTATTGAACATCTTTCCATGTGCTTATTTGAATTTATAATCTTCTTTGGAGAGGGGTGTATTTAAATCCTTTGCCCACCTTTAAATTTGATTGTCTTTTATTTTTTCTTGAGCTGTAAGGGTTTTAAAAATAAATACATTCTGAATGCAATTATCATCAGATCATAATTTGCAGAGTTCTCCTACTCTGCAGTTGTCTTTTCACTTTCTTGATAGTGTTTTTTGAAGTGTAAATGTGATTTTTATTAAGTTCAACTTAATATTTCTTTTATCACTGTTGCTTTTGGTATCATAACTAAGTTATTACTGTCTAATTCAAGATCATGATTTACTCCCATAAATCCTTTTCTTCCAAAAAATGTATAGTTTTAGCTCATACATGTAAGTCTATGATACACATTAACTTTTATGTATGGTGTGAGATAGAAGACCAAATCAATTCTTTTTTATATGGATATCCATTTGTCTCATCAACTTTTTTTTTTCATATCTTACCTCTGCCTCTGTGATCATCATATTTATTTTCTTTAAATCTTAATGGAGTGAATTATATTGATCTTTTCTGGTATTGTACCATCCTTCTACTTCTGTTATAAATCCAATTTTGTCATAATTCTTTATTTAATACAATAGTGAATTCCATTTGTTAATATTTTATTGATGACATTTGTTATTTTTCATCCATGTTTATAAGTAAAATCATTTTGTTGTAATGAAACTATCCTTTGTATTTATTGTACTAATCTTGATCAGACATCGATTATAAGAGCTCATTAAATACAATTTTCTTATTTTTTTATTTGTGCAGCAATTTTATTTATTGATATTCAATAAAATGTGAATTAATGAAGTGACTTTTTCATGTGTGTGTGAGAGAGAGAGAGAGAAAGAGAAAGAAAGAGTTATAGGAGGGGCTAAAAGGACTTTTACAAATAAAATAACTATTAAAATTATAATTCAAATTTTTATTCCCTTAATTCATTTTTTGTTATGTTGCCCTAAAACCATTCAGTTTAATATTTTTCAAATTTATTGAAATACATGAGTATTTATTATTCTAGATGATGCTCATTCAACATAGTTTTAAATTTTTAATTCTTCCTTCAGTCTTCAGATGCTTGTATATTTTCAGTTTTTCTCAAGATCCAGCTCTCAGTTTTGTCTCTTACTTCTATTATTGATTTTTGTTATTTTGTATTACATTAAGTCCTACTTGTTTCTTTTTTTATTTTTTGAAGTTCAGTTAAGATGGTTGATGAAAGTCACTCTTTGTCAATCTCTTTGAGTTGATTGTTTCAAATGGTACATAATTTTTCTTCTTATATTTAACAGAATTTAATGCTGGAATTTCTGTATTGCTTTAGCTGCAAGTCATATGTTTTTGACATTACTTGTGCTGCTGTGTAAAACTAGACATTTTATAGTTTGTAATACACTTTCTTCTTTAAACCATTGGATAATTTAAGTTATCAATATGGAGAGTTTAAATTATCATTTAATTGCTGTTATCTAATTTATTTTATTGTGATAAAATATGTAGTCAGGATAGTGCTGATTCTTTGAAATTAGTTGAAACTTCAGTTACAGACTACTCTGTGGTCATTTCTTAAAGTGTTACATCTTTTTTAAAATAAGTTTATTCTTTAGGATTATTAATTGTCTAGCTTTATTTAACTTTACTTTTCAAATCCCTTTTTAAAGTTACTGCAACTTCAAAATCTATAAGCCTGTGAGCCATTCTGGCCTCAGCTTCTCATTTTTGCCCTGATGTTAATAATTCTCTTCATTTATTATACCTGGTTATTCCCATCTTTTAACTCTTATTGCTACTATGTACACCAAAGTAACTTTTATTATATTTATCCAGTTATTATCTGTTTGAGAAAATCATTTTGAAAAATAAAGATTCTAGAATAATCAGATTTCAAAATAGTCATAGAATAATGAGGTCGGATCTGTTCTCACAGATATTAAGTCATGCGGGGATTCTCTAATTTGTGTACTTTGAACACAATCATTCTACACACACCGTCACCCTTAAACTGCAACTCAGTGGCCAAATCACACTTTCCTATAAGAATGGTCTAAATAACATTGTGATTCATTATACAGAGGTATTCTCTATGGTGTTTTTATCAAGTCTAGCAGTAGCCACACTTTTATACAATATTATTTGCATAGTAGTTAAGATAATTCACTTGCTTTTTTTAAATAAAAATTATTGCAGACTAAAAATGTATGTTGCAGAGCCTTAACATTGTTAAAGTGATGATGACAATCATTGAATGTAGAAAAATAACTGATCTTATAGCCATTGGAACTACAGTCTTGGTCTTACACCCATTGGATTGAGGTTGATATACTATTATTCCTAAAGATCCAATTTCAAGAACAAGAAACTGGAATGGACCTTTTCATACACTGAGCCCTTGAAGTTAGAGTAAAGCTGGGGTTGGTGCCTCTCTCACTTCTTATGCCTTTACACTTGCTTATCTTCTACCTTAAGGTTAGGGGCTTCGTTTGTCTACTTTATATTTCTATTTCTTACTGCTAGAACAATGTCAAGCACAGTATGTACTCACTGAATACATGCAAGCACAGGGGATGGATAACCTACTTGGTGTCTTGCACGGCACCATAGTATGATGAGAACTGGGGATGGTGTGAAGATTGGACAAAAGTTGAGGGGCTAGTGAATGGGCAAGAAGAGGTATGTTGAAGTCCTGGTCTGTGGGAGGGGCCATTTCAGTTCTCTCAGCCTCATTTTCTTTCTTTAGATCAAGGACAGGAAAGCAGGGCTCACAGAGAAGGCCACGAACAGGCTACTCACTAACATAGAGCATCATAGTTTGAAGACTCTGCCCAGAACCAATCCTGGAGGTGTCCTAACAAAATATAAAATCTCGTATCCATTCCTGATAGTCCTGATGGTGGCCATACAAAAGGAGCAGGGGAGAATACTGATGATGGAGCCCATCACAGTGGTCCAGCAGCCTGTGGTCATGTGATTGCTGCTGACAGTGATTATGTCATTGTGCAATTGTGAGTTCACCTTAGAGCTCTGTTCTAACTGAAGAGGGGCAACAAGAGGAAGCCAACACTTTATCAGCCTGGCTGAAGGAGTGATGTGTGGAAATGTTAACATTTACTGGCTTTTCTGAATCCATTGTATCTCCTCACTATAGTCTGGGAAACACCTGTTATGCTTCCACAAAGCTGGCCCATTTTTTTCTGCTTTACATGTGGAAATGCAATTTCCTTTAGCCTTCAGAGTCGACATTTGCAGGGAAATCTCCTGCTTGTTTTTCTCATCTCTGTTTCCATTTCAAAATGTCTCAGCAAGTTTTTCTCCAAGCAAACTGTGCATAAATGAATGTATAGCAGCATTTGCTACACATTAGAGTCCAGGGTATTGTGTATACATCGAATAATTTTGTAGAAGAAATCCTCTAGCATGAAGGCAAGAACAAGCTAAGGCAGGCTCTGAGGATTAAGACCTGCAAGTATGTCATTATCACACACTGGCTGACCCTGTGGAGCCCCATTCAAAAAGCCCCAATACATTCAAATTGGTAGGAAGCCTTTCCCACTAGGAAGAGATTTCAGACTGAAGGGGAGCAATTACAGACTGGGTTTGTTTATCTTGTTACACATCAGCAGGGCAGGGAAGAGCTGCAGCAGCAATTCCTCCTTAACGAATTGGGGCAGGGAAGGAGAGCTGGAGGCAGTTTGGAATATCTTCCTTTACAATGTCACTAAAGTAAGCCAATAAGAAGAAATTAATTTATAGAATATTAGAACAGAATTAAAATGGTTTTAGAAAATTTATTTTATAACATATAACACTTTGCAAGTAATTTTGGTAATTGCAAATAGGAAAGAACAATTTTTGCTACTCTATCACCCATAGCTGACTTTTCTTGTATCTTGGTGAATTTAATTCTATGGCTATTCTCTACTGATTGTCTCAATCAAAAGAAGCATAATTTATATGTAAATTTATACCCCCTTTTTAGCCAATTTTCTCTAACAAATATTTATCTGTATTTCATAAGATACAGTCTTCATAGCCATTATTTTACTGGATGTGAATGCTAAAAAAGGGGTAGTGGAGACTTAGTCCACCCCTCTTATTTGATAAATGAAGAAGCTTGGTGATATTGTTTGGCTCTGTGTCCCCACGCAGACCTCACCTTGAATTGTAATAATCCCCACATGTCAAGGGCGGGACCAGGTGGAGATAATTGAATTATGGGGGCAGTTTTCCCCATGCTGTTCTCATGATAGTGAGTGAGTTCTCACAAGATCTGATGATCTTATAAGGAGCATCCCCCTTCACTCAGCACTCATTCTCTCTTCTGCCGCCCGGTGAAGAGGTGCCTTCCGCCATTATTTTAAGTTTCCCAAGGCCTCCCCAGCTGTGCTGAACTGTTAGTCAATTAAACCTCTTTCCTTTATAAATTACCCAGTCTTGGGTATTTCTTTATATCAGTGTGAGAATGGACAAGCACACTTGGGAACCTCAAAGAGCAGTGACCAGTGCAAGACCTTGCAGCTAATGACAACTGCAAGCCTAAAGCTCATTGAGGGTTCTTCCATTCAGGTCACATTCGCTGAGACAAGGAGGAGGAGAGTGAATTGAACAGGTGGGATAGTGGCTCCAACAAGCTTAGGCACTCTGCATAAATCAGAGTGTGCTCAAGGCAAAAACAGTGACCACATGTTGCAAAATCTGAAGGCACTCAGAGGAATTCAGTTGATGGATATCGTAAAATATATATTTTTAAGTATTCAGTAAAGTGACTACTCCTCATGCTTGAGCCAGATCAAAGGTGATTTCTTAAGGGAAGCCCTGCTGAGCAGAATAATTTTCTCCTTCATTTGCATTTCTATATCACTTTGTTCATAACTATATTATGACATTTACCACATTTATTTTCATTATCTGTTCAAATGTCACCCTCCAACTATACTGGGAATATATTAAGCAGGGCACCATTTTTTAATTAGTTTTTCTAGTCCTAATATTTAACTCTGACACATAGTAGGGGATTAATATATATTTGGTGAACTGAATTGCTACATAGCATTATAATAGGCAGCTTTAAGCATCTAGTTTTTTCTATTTTGCAAAAGCATGGATTGGTTGAGTTTCTTCCAAAAGAGTCAATTAATAAATATTAATGTTTGTTCTTTGTCGGGGATTGTGCTAAGACTAAGGATAGAAAAGATAAGCCAGTGCTAGTGTCTTTGTTTTCAGTGGGCTTTCCTCTTAATAAATATAGAAAAAAATAAACAAAGTATGATAAAACTATAATAAAAAATATATAGCCAAAGGACAGGCACTGACTACACAGGGGAGTTCTCCCAGTAAGCTTTCAAGAAAATGATAAAATATAAGGTGAGCCTTGGCAGACAGATGAGAAATTTAGTAGTGAAGAATCTTTCAAACAGGAAAAAAATAGTATATTTCAAAAAGGACAGACATTAATGTGGGTGGGAAGGAGGTGGAAAAAGAACATTGAGGCTGGAACAAGTTAGTCTGAGAAGTGAGTGTTAACGGCAGAGAAGAGAAAATCTTGTCACAATGAGGAATGCAAGAGTAGGGAGTGGAGATAAGCCTCCAGATTTTTGGTAGGAGTGTTGATTTCTGATCTCCTAAAATTAGCTATGAATTTTCCTTCCTAGGAAAGGAACAAAAACTTTCCAGAACTTTTTCCTACATCAATCTGCCCCCATCTTAATATGTGACACCATCATCTACTTAGTCTTGATGGAAACGAATCAAGATCACTAGTATCTCACTTTTTCTTACCCACTTAGCCAAACACCTTAAAGACATTCACTTCTCCATATCTCCACTGTCACCATTCAGGTCTGAGCGTTTTTTCTCTAACCTGGACTACTTTGCTGTCATCCTAACTTGTCTCCCTATTTCCATTCTTACTTTACTTTAAATAAATTTCTACACAATAGTCACAATAATCTCCTAAATATGTTGATAGAAAAATGCTTCTCTACATTTTCAACTCTTCAATGATTTCTTAATTCTTGTATAATAAAACTCAAGCTCCTTACTTGAACCTACAACTCTCTGCAGGTTGTGGCTCATATATTTATTACCAACTTAATTTCATGGCATTATCCCCCAACTTCATCCTGCTGCAGCAATAGTGACCTGCTTTCAGTTTTCCCACATCCATTTATTCTTATCTTTTCATATTCTTCGAAGGTATGGCTCACTCTCATCCTTCGAGTCTAATCTTAAATCTGACACTTTTTGAGATGTCTTCAAACATGATATGTAAAGAAGTTTCTCTTTTTCAATTTTTAAATTTGTTTCATCTCCTTATTTTAAAATAAAATGTAGATACAAAAATGTCTATCAATTGCCTTCACAGCTTAATTATTAGGAGGCTAACAACTGTTACAAGAAAACCTTTAGACAAATTAAATGTAGCAGAGTTTATCTGAGTAAAAATGATTCATGGATTGGGCAGCACTTAGAACAACAAGAGGTTCAGAGAGCTCTGCTTTAGCAGCATGACACACTGAACACGGAAGCAAAGAAATTACTTGATTGGCTACAGTTTGCCTTATTTGAGCATTAATTGGCTATAATTTGCCTTATTTGAGCATTTGCCTTATTGGAGTATGATCTGGTGCCTAATTAGAGAGAGGTTAATTGTCAGTTTATGATTGATTAAGCTTAAGTTTCATTACATTGCTTACACCGGGCTTCAGTTTTCTCACGTAGAAACCCAAAACACTGAAGTTGTCTTAGCCTAATGATCTCCTACTTAAATTTTTTGTTAACACATCTTTATTACCAACTGACCAATTAAGTCAAGAACTATTGCTAGCTACTCCAGAATCCCTGCAAAATGCCTTGTAAAGCCCTCCATTCTCCTTAAGCAAATATTCTCTTCACTTTTAGTTAATCATTTCCTTGCAGTGCTTTTGTTTTACCACACATGTATGCATACCAAAAGCCTATGCTTTAGTCTTGTTTTATCATACATGTGTGCATCCCAGAACCCTATGCTTTTATTATTGTTCTTTAATATATTTTTCCTGTGCATTTTGATTTTTAGGTTCCAATTCTGTTCTATTTTATATAGGTTTTAATGTTTGAAGTTGACTCAATTTACATAAAAGACACAGATTTTAAGTGTACATTTCAGTAAGTTATTCCAAATATATGCATCCTTGTAAGTACTAGGTAATCAGCTCAAAAAACCTTTTTTATCCTTTTTTCCCATCAATCCCATTTCCCAGATGCAACCATTGTCTGCTCTTTATTACCATGGTTTTTTGTTTGTTTTTGTTTTTTGAGATGGAGTCTCACTGTCGCCCAGGCTGGAGTGCAGTGGTGCAATCTTGGCTCACTGCAACCTCCACTGCCTGGACTCAAGCAACTCTCCTGCCTTAGCCTCCTGAATAGCTGGGATTATAGGCATGTGCCACCAAGCCTGGCTAATTTTTGTATTTTTGTTGTTGTTGTTGTTGTTGTTGTTGAATGCTATATAAAGGGAATGATGCAGTGTCATACAAAGGGAATCTTTTGTTTAAAGTTTCTTTCACTCAGCATAATGCTGATTCATGTATTATTAATTTGGTTTCTTTTACTACTCTATAGGATTCCACTATATGAATATGTTACAGCATTTTAAAATCCATTTCCTTGTTCATGGACACATGCGCTTATCACAGCTTTGGGAAAATATTAATAGAATGTGGACATTCTTATATAGATCCTTTTGTGACTATGTTTTCATTTCTTTTAGGAAAATCCCTAAGTCTGGAATTACTGAATTGTGTAGTAAGCATATGTTAAACTTTCTAAGAAAACACCAACCGTTTTCCAAAACATTTGTAAAAGCTTTCCAAACAGTAATTCATGAGCCTATAAATTGATTCCCACCTTTGCTAACAATTGGAATTATCCATAATAGTCAGTCTAGGGAGTACGTGGTGGTATCACACTGTGGTTTATTTTATATTTTCTTGCTGATTAATTAGGTTGAACTTTTTTTTTTTTTTTTTTTTTTTTTTGAGACGGAGTGTCACTCTATCGCCCAGGCTGGAGTGCAGTGGCGTGATCTCTGCTTACTGCAAGCCCCGCCTCCCGAGTTCACACCATTCTCCTGCCTCAGCCTCCAGAGTAGCTGGGCCTACAGGCACCCACCACCATGCCTGGCTAATTTTTTGTATTTCTTAGTAGAGACGGGGTTTCACCATGTTAGCCAGGATGGTCTGGATCTCCTGACCTCGTGATCCACCCGCCTCGACCTCCTAAAGTGCTGGGATTACAGGCGTGAGCCACTGTGCCCGGCCAGGTTGAACATTTTATCATGTCCTTTAGAGAATCTTATTTGTAAAGTATCTGTTTAAAGTCTTCCTTATTTTAGTTAGATATTGGATACTTTGTCTATTTTTATGTTGTAGGGGTGCTTCACACATAACACACATGTCATATCTTATACCCTCTAATCTGTTCTATTATTCTATTTTTTTAACCCTTAGTCCAATACAACTGTCTTGAGACCTCCAGATTTCTTATTCTTTTATGACTTTTTTTTTGATTTATCAAAAAGCTGCCAGAATTTTGGCTGGGAGTATATTAAATTTTTCGATTGCTGTTTCTCAACTTTATTATTATTATTGTCACCTTGCCCCATGAGGAAAAATAAATTGTTTAAATTATCTTTAACCAGATAAATTAAAAAATAAGGAAAAAAAATTTATCAGGCAGGGATGAGTTTTGGAAAGTGACAAGCATTGTAATATCTAAGGGTTTTTGCCCCCTGAGAACCAATTTTCTCCTTTGAGAGGTGGTATTGCTACTGTTGAGAACACAGGCTTTAGATCAATGTGGGAAAAATCTTAGCAATATTCAGTCTTCCATTCCATTAGCTTACTATCTCTTCCCATTTTTTAGATCTTCAATTACTCTTGACAATGCTTTCATGGTTTTAGTGTATAGATATTTCACATAGTTTGCTAAATTTATTCCTAAGCAAATGATTTAGTTTTCTTATACCATTAAAAGGTACTATTTTTATCACTTTTTTTTGCATATATAGAAATGCAATTAATCTTATATTGACATTTTAACTTTTTTTTTTTTTTTTTTTTTTTGAGATGGAGTCTCACTCTGTCTCCCAGGCTGGAGTGCAGTGGCACCATCTCGGCTCACTGCAACCTCCGCCTCCCTGGTTAAAGCAATTCTCTTCCCTCAGTCTCCCAAGTAGCTGGGATTACAGGCATGCACCACCACACCCAGCTAATTTTTATATTTTTAGTAGAGACGGGGTTTCACCATGTTGGCCAGGCTGGTTGACAATGTAACTTTTGTAACTTTTATTTTGAATTCTGGTAATAGTTTTTATTCCTTTCTGATGAACTCTATACCTCAACCTTGAAGCTGCTGGCAGATGAAGATGACTTCCTTTCTAGTCTTTATGCGTTTCCGTGTTCATTTAGTAACACCTTCCTGAGTGGAGGATTATACAAACTTCAGTGAGAAAATACTTTATAAAGGGAAAGTATTTTTGCAGTTGTTTTCCACTGTTGGTTACCTCTCAATATTAACCAGTAGTGAACCTGCCACAAACCAGTGTGCTCATTATTGTCTTTTCCTTCTCAGGAAACAAGATCTCTGCCAGGATAGATGGACTGAGTTCCTAGACTCTCATAGGAAATATCACAAACAAAAGTCTTTCTTTCCTAGAAGCCAGCTGAGGAAAGGGGAGCCTTCCCAGCTGGCCTCCTAAAGAGAACACAGCAGAAGGATTTGGCCAGTGACTGTGTTTGTGCCAATGGTGCTTTCTTCTAGCCCTGCTTCTGAGAAGCTCCCTCAAGTATTTGTTGGCCATTGTGGTCCATAGCCAAAGTGTTTCTCAGGATAGACAGATTTTTATATCCCATGAGGCATATAAAAACTGGGATCCTGGCTGAGCTAAGGTCATGAGAAATGAAAAAAAGCAATTAAAGTGGAGATATATTCTATTTTTTTATCATTTTGTGTTTGTGTATGGCTGTGTTAGCTTCAATATTATGCAAACTTGATAATTAGTTCCTTGGAGATTTGTTGTACTGCCTTGAATTAAATTGAGGCAAAGACTTTCATCACATATTGTCATATCTAGATATAGAAGAATTGGTGTGTAATATAATGGGGAAAAGGAAAAACAGAAGTAAATGAATAAGAGACTGGAAATAGTGAGCTGGTAAAAGAGAATATACAAAAGGAAAGAAAGAGCTCATAGAAATTTTAAAAACACATCTTAAAAATCTATTCTGTATCATACATTATATATTTTTTCTTTTTATACAGTTTAAATAAAACCGACCAAATGTAATATATACTCATTGTTTGCAAGTTCATTAATTACAGTAAGTTTGTCAATTACAAAGGCATGAAAATTACCAGAAATCCCCGTCATATCATAGTTAATATAATGTTGTATTCCTTTTTACTCACTCTTTGACATTTATCATCTCTATCATCTATCTTATAGAATTTTAACCAGAAAGAATAAGTTATTCCATATCTTACATCTTATTTAATGTTATACATTTTAATTAATATTATCAAGGTATAATTTATGTAATAAGAGATCCATTCAAATGGATAGTCTGAGTACTGAAAAGTGTTAATTTTTACTTAATTTAATTAAAATCTAAATTTTTAATTTTTAATTAATTTTTAATTAAAATTTAACAAATTTTAATTCGTTAAACATAGCTTCTTCAAGATACAGAGCACTTCAATTACCCCAGAGAGTTACCTTATGGCTTCGCATGCAATCATCCCTAATTTATGCCTTGGACAACTACCGATTTCTAAATCTATACATTAGTTTCATACATTAACTATGAATATTTTATGTATATTTATGAATTAAGCATACATGAGTTTTATATGTTAGTTTTGCAAATTCTACCATTTTATATAAATCAAACCATACTGTAAGTACTTTTATGTTGTTTCTTTGGCTCAGCATGCTCTTTTTAAGATTCAACCGGCCGGGAGCCGTGGCTCATGCCTGTGATCCCAGCACTTTGGGAGGCTGAGGTGGGCGGATCACGAGGTCAGGAGATCGAGACCATCCTGGCTAACACAGTGAAACCCGTCTCTACTAAAAATACAAAAAATTAGCCGGGGTGGAGGCTGAGGCAGGAGAATGGCATGAACCCGGGAGGCGGAGCTTGCAGTGAGCTGAGATTGTGCCACTACATTCCAGCCTGGGTGACAGAACGAGACTCCATCTCAAAAAAAAAAAAAAAAAAGTTCAACCATGTGTGGCTGTATGTATGTGTATGTGTGTATGTGTGTGTACATTATTTTATTCCTGACTTACATTGTTGTATGGATATATCTCCATTTCATTATTCACCTGTAGATGGTTAATTTAGAGCTATCATGAATAAAACATTCCATTTTAAAGATCAAATAGAATATTATCTATAGGTATTTTGTAAATGCCACTATTAAGTTGAGGAAGATGCCTTCTATTATTACTAATTTGCTGAAAATTTTTGTTGTTGTTGTTGTTGTTTGTTTGTTTTTTATTTGAGACAGAGTCTCACTCTGTCGCCCAGGCTGGAGTGTGGTGGCGTGATCTTGGATCCCTTGAGCATCTGCCCCCTAGGTTCAAGCGATTCTCCTGCCTCAGCCTCCTGAGTAGCTGGAATTACAGGCGCCCACCATTATGCCCGTCTAATTTTTTATTTTTAGTAGAGACGGGGTTTCACCATGTTGGCCAGGCTGGTCTGGAACTCCTGACCTCAGGTGACCCGCCTACCCTGGCCTCCTGAAGTGCTGAGATTACATGTGTGAGCCACCATGCCCGGCCTGCTGAAAGTTTCTTAATCATGTTGGATTTTAAATTTCTGCCTCTATTAAATAATTACATAATTTTTCTTCTTTTTTATGTTAATGTGGCAAATCATATTGCTTAATTTTCAAATGTTGAACCAACCTTGCATTATTAAGTTTACCTTACTTGATCATTTTGAAGTATGCTTTTTATATAAGTGTATACTTATTTGCTAGTACTGTATTTGATGTGAATTTTTAAATCTATTATCATGACTAATAGTGGCCTATAATTAAAAATGTCATAATGTCTCTCAGTTTTTGGTATTAGGATTGTGCTGCCTTTATAAAGTGATTGGAGAAGTGTTCTCTCCTTCTCTACTTTCTGAGAAACATTGCATAAGACTGATATTATATTTTTCTCAAATACTTAATAGAATTAACCAACAAAACCATCTGGGCCTAGAGTTTTGTTGTGTTCATGTGTGTGTCCATCTATGTGTGTGTCAAAAATTTTGATTATAAATTTTTTAATAGATATAGAGCTATTTTAATTTTCTATTGCTTCTTGTGTTAACTTTGGTAGCTGGCATTTTTTAAAGAATTTTTTATTTCATAAAATTTTCTAAGCGTAAAATGATGTTCATTATTATCCTCTTATTAGATATAGAATCTGGAGTAATTTTTTTTTTGCTTGTTTTGGGTATGGGTAGTTCATATTTTTTCTTGATCAGTCCTTCTAAATTTTGATAAATTGTATTAATCTTTTTTAAAAATTAGGACTTTGCTAATTTTTTTGCTTGTCTGTTTTCTGTTTCATTAATTTATGCTCTACCCAGTATTAATTATTTTCTTCTTCTTATCTTCAATTTAATTTGTGCTTTTTCTTCTCAGATTCTTAATGGGTAAACCTAGATTATTAGTTTTAAATCTAAAAATTTAACCTACATCTTCAAATTAAGATTTCTTTTACTGCATCAAATTAAGTTTGATATGATACACATCCATTATCTTTTTAACATTTTTTCTAATTGCTTTTGTTATTTATTTTATGATACACTTATTTTTAATTTGTAAAAATATAATTTTAAATATTTTGCCATTTTATATATGTATTATTATTAATGGTTTCTAATGAAATTTAATTATGGTCAGAAAACATAGTCTTATTAGGTGTACACAGATTTAGGATTACTACATCCTTCTGATGATTTGTTTTTTTATCATTGTGAAAAGTTTTTCTTTAGCTCTTATAATTCTCTGCCCTGAAGTTTAATGTGTCTGATATTGACACACCTATACCAGCTTTCCTATGTGTAGTGTTTACATTCTATATCCTTCTACTCTCCTACTTTCAGACTATTTGTCTTTAAAGAAAGGGAAATATTGAGTCTTTTTCATCTCTGTATTTTAGTTAACACTGTCATTTGATGTAATTATTGATGTGGTTGAATTTATGTCTACCATCTTGCTATGTGTTTCCCATGTGCCCTTTCTAATTTTTCTTTCTCTGTTGCTCTTTTCTGACTTATTTTGGGTTAATCAAATACTTTCAGTATTCCATTTCTTTTCTTCTCTTTCTTTTCTTTTTTTTTGAGACGGAGTCTAGCTGTTGCCAGGCTGGAGTGCAGTTGCTCAATCTCGGCTCACTGCAACTCTGCCTCCCGTGTTCAAGCGATTCTCCTGCGTCAGCCTCCCTAGTAGCTGGGATTACAGGCACACGCAGCCACGCTAATTTTTGTGTTTTTAGTAGAGACGGGGTTTCACCATGTTGGCCAGGATGGTCTCAATCTCCTGACCTCATGATCTGCCCACCTCGGCCTCCCAAAGTGCTGGGATTACAGGCTTGAGCCACCGCGCCCGGCCTATTTTATTTTCTTTATTACATTCTTAGCCATGTTACTTTTTATGGTTTCTCTAGAGCTAAAAACATGAATTCTTAACATATTAAAGTCTATTTAGAGTCAATACTGTATGAGTTCATACCTGACTCACACTTTTTACATTACATTGTACAGTACACATTCAACATCTCACTCTATACTTGACATTTGCTACTTCACAAATACAATAATTATACTGCATTATTTTTGCATTTGTCCACCTTCTTCATTTGGGTAATTGTTGATGTATGTTTTATTTCTAAATGTTTATTTCTAAAATGTTATTATTTTTGCATTATAGCTGTAGTTCTTTCAGAAATTTAGGATATAAACAATACTTTATATTTATACTTATCATTCTGATTGTGTTTTTTTCTTCCTATAGGTCGAAGTTTCCATCTGGTATCACTTGCCTTAAGCCTGAAAAATATACTTTAGAATTTGTCATAATTCAGCTATGCTGATAATTTATCTGAAAGTAGTTCTTGCTTATCTAAAAATAGCTTAACGTCATACTTCCTTTTTGAAGGATATTGTCACTAGATAATTCTGTCTTGTTTTTTCTTTCAGCACTTGAAAATTATTGTACCAGTATCTTTTGGCTTTTACTGTTTATGATGAGAAATCAGTATTTATTATTATCATTGATCTCTGTATATAATTTTTATTTTGTACTCATCACTGTTAAGATTTTCTTTTTATATTTGGTTTTAACCACTATGAGTTTGATGTACCATGTATTTTTTTGTTTTTTGTTTGTGTTGTTTTCGTATTTATCCTTCTTGATGTATCCTGGGATTCTTGGGTATGTAAATAAATATTAATAACCAAATTTAGAGATTTTTCAGCCATTATTTCAATTTTTATATTATTCTTGCTGTCTTATTATTCTAGAATCTTTATTACAAACATGTTAGACCATTTGATGCTGTGCCTCAGTTCCCTAATACCCTGTTCATTATCCTTCAATCACTTTTTCTGTTTTTCAGATTAAATAATTCTATTGATTTATCCTCAAGTTCACTGTTTCTTCTTCTATATTAAAACAGTTCTTAAGACTATTTGGCAAATTTTTAATTTTTGTTATTGTACCTTTTAGTTCTATAATTTTCATTTGGTTTTATTTTATATATATATTTTTTTCAAGTCTCTGTTCATTTATTAAATTTTTGACTTTTTTTTGCTCTTTGACTATTTATTCCCTTAGTTCTTTGAAAAGATTTGTAATTAATAGCTGCTTGAACATTTTTGTTTGCTAATTCAACACCTGGCCATTTCAGGTTGGTCTCTACTATATGCTTTTTTTCCTGGACTCTACATTATTATGTTTTTATACCCCCATGCATGTCATATATGTGTGTGTGTGTGTGTATTATACTGGACATTAATTCTTATTCATTGTAGATACTAAAGATTGTGTTGTCTTCCTCAAAGGAGTATTCGTTTTTGATCTGATAGGTCATTCATTTACTGGTTGATCACCTTGAATTTGTGTGTGGTGGTGTTTTGCTCTTTGTTGAGACAGATCTGTAGAAAGCCCAAATTATTTTCTAAGTCAATCTAACTTGGAAGATTCATCCTCCAAACTCTATCGACTCATCAGCTCTTGTTAGGGTCAGTCTTAGACTCTTTTAGGACAGGTCTACAGTAGACTTTATTTTAGAATATGGTTCTTACTTTTAGGTTGTGGCGTTTCTGGCGTCTCAGATAGATGCTGGAAAGTTGATAAGGTCTCTCTACTCTAGATATACTGGACCATTAACGTCCCCAGCACGACTCAACCTTTCTCTGTTACATTTTCAATGCCACACCTTTTGGCATGCACAGCTTATATCTTTGACAGAGTCACTAGACATCACTACACAGTCTCCTAGTAATCCATCCTTCATGGTGTTATGTCTGCCAGGCTCCACACTTCAGCTGTCTCAACCCTCATGTCTCCCTTTTGTGATGTCTGCTTAGAGTCAGAAAAATGTCCTCAGGCAGCAATCCAGAGGCTCAGGTTATGAGTTTTCCTTTGTTCAGAATTGAATTTCCGTGTTGCTTTTTGTCTAATGTCTGCATATGGTCATCCCATGATTGTTAAATCTGGCAGTAGTTATTCTATCACAGCTTGAAGCAAAAGTCATAATATTTTATTTGGAAAACAAAAAAAAATTATTGTACCTCTATTAGTCAGTGTTCTCCAGAGAAACAGAACCAATAAGAGAAAGAGAGAGAGAGAGAATGAATGGGCTTAAAATATCACTGGGGCTGGCAGGGGCAAAACCTGTAGGACAAGTCTACAGCGTGGAAATTAAGGTAAGAGCTGATGGTGGAAGTCGGAGTCTTGAGTCAGAAATCTGCAAAGCAGGCCAGGCAGGCTAGAAACTCAGGCCAGGTTACTATGTTGCAGTCTTAAGTCCAAATTCCTTCTTTTTAAGGAAACTTCAGTCTTCTCACTTTAAGGCCTTCAATTGATTAGATGAAGCTCACCAACATTATGGAAGGTAATCTGTTTAACTCTAAGTTTCATGATTTAAATGTTAATCACATGTAAAAAGTACCTTCATAACAACATCTAGGCTGGTATTTGAACAAACAACTGGGCACTACAGCCTAGCCAAGTTGACACATAAATTTAACTAACACAGTACTCAAGATTTTTTTTTTAGCCCTCTTTGTGATCTGCAGTTGCCTACAATTTATTTTATTATTACTCATTTCTCAGAATTTTCATTTATTTCCTCCTTTTCAATTATTTTATACAAAATATACTTGTTCACATGTCTTTATTTGAAACACTGATTATTTCCTGTGGACGAAGTATAGTCCTAATTAAAAGTATTAAGTCAAATAATTTAAAGGCCATTCGTATATCTTACCATTTGGCCCTCAGAAGAAGTTTAGGATCTTATACATTACCACTATAAATGTATGAGAGTGTTGATATCCTCCCTTGATGGAAAATGCTCAGTGTTTTAAATATTTTGTATTGACTTGAGGAATATTACATTGTTGGTGTTTGAATTTGTTTAAATGTAATTCCAAGGAGTTTACACGCTTTAAAATTATTTTATTACCAATTTCAACTCTTATTTTGAATATTTACATTGGGCTTATCAGCCTTATTTTTGCAAATTTGTAATAGTTACATAGTTTGGATAAATCTGCTTGGTCTGCCATCTATATATTTCCCACTTTATTAGTTGCTATTTTTTATAATTAAAATTAGAAGAAAGCTTTAAGAGAACAATCTAATTTTTAGCATGTTAAGTTCTGCAATTTCTCAGATACTGGGTTTATAAAAATTTTTGTGCGTTCCTGTTTTTATGTAATATTTCTTACATGGTATTTCATGGTAGAGAAGTATTTTTTAAGAAATTAAATTATTTTTATTTGAAAAAAATCCAAGTATTAAATTTGCCATTTTTTTGGTTTTTATATTACTTAACAGTGGATACTATTTATAGAATAAAGTGTTTTTCTAGCTCCATTATAATCCATACAACATCAAAAAGAATGCCTATGTCAAAGCCCTAGAAAAAGTTCCTACATTTTTTCTCAGTGTACTTCATTGGATATACCCTCTATGTTTTGATATGTAGCTTTCTTACAGTCATTATTTTGGAAATAATAAAAAAAATTCACATTGGATTCTTAATTCAGGAGAATTACAAAAATAACTTCTTATTTCCAAGGGCCTGAGAGTTTTGATTTTGTTTGTGTTTGCTTTTGTATTTACTTCTAATCCTGTATAGTTTTGTTTATATGTATTTAATAGTGTTTGAACACCAGGAAGATGGTGTAATAGCAAGAACAATGTTGGAAAGACAGCTGTTGCCTGCAAGAATGCTGCTTTCTTCTCTGCTTTTATTTCAAAATTCTAAAAGTGTGGGGAGACTGTATTGAACATCTATGATTTAGGACAGAGTAATTTTCTGTAAGCAGACTAGAAGAGACATAAAGAGAAATTCTTGTGGATAAAAGAGAGAATTGGAGGCTAGAAGAAGCGGAAAAGAGGTCCATGATTCCTCAAACACAGGGGGATGTATCCTGCTGTCTAATGCTGCAGATGAAGAGACTTAAAAAAAAGAATACCTATGTGTTTTCTGGCTTTACCTATATATCCTCTTTGCTCAAGCAAAAAGCCCATTGGCTTGAATAGAAAGTTAGAAAATTTTACATCTGATGGTTGTTATACTGGTAACTGATAACTGCTATGCTGATACTTGAGGACCAGTGAAGCCTTCCAAATTTATTAAGGACAGGTAAGTTTTCAGAATATCACACCCTGAGTGCTAGAAGACCCATAGGAGTCAGATGTTGAATGATTAACTCACCATACAGACTAGAGCTAAGAATCACAGTTAGCTAATTCTCTGAAAATAAATTACTATTTCTTAAAATTTGTAACTATGCACTAAAATTTATAACAGTTTTTATCTAATAAGATTGTTTCTCCATATATTTTACTTTTAAATTTTGTTAATACCTGATATGCTAAATAAGTCTACCATTTTAATGGTGTTTCTGTTCCTCTCTCCTTTATTTTCCACAGCTTTTTTTTTCTTGTATTTTGATATCTTGTTAAATGAAAGAATATCATTACAATGTTTTCTCTGTAGGTTTCACATTTTTGTACATTTACATAACATTGCTACTTTTACTAATACAAAATAACTTTCATTCTTTAAATCCTTCAACTTTACCTTGTTTGTTCTTGCCTGAACTATATCTGTTTTTGGTCATCTGTTATGGTAGCACAGTTGTTTTTCTACAGTAATCATTTAATTTATGTGTAGTATATAAGCAATATGCAATAAAAGTTTTTTATTCAAAGATTGTCTTTATCTTGGAACATATTTCATTTTGATTTATCAACTTAACTAATAAGTTTGAATTTTAGTTTTTAAAAAAATCCTTTATTTCAGCCGTCTACAATCTAAAATCTGTAGCTCAAATTTGTTACAGCACCTGTTTTTTTGTGAGCTAAAAATGTTTTTACATTTTTAAAGAGTTACCCCAAAAAAAGGAAGAAGAAGAAAAAGAAAAATACGTGACAAAGACCATATGTGACACACAAAGCTTAAAATATCTACCATCTGGTCCTTTACAAGAAAAAAAATGTTTGCTGACCCCTGCTCTGTTTTATTTCAAAACACCCTTTTAGCAGATGCTCTCTCTTATCCAATTGCTGGTACATGTGACTCCTTGACTTAGAGAGTGGGGGTTCTATTTGCCATCCCCTGTGGCTAGAGCAGGCTGTAAGTGCCAAGGGAAGAATGCTTCCTGGCAGAAGTCCTCAAGCAATGACTGTATAGTTTGATTAGTGGGTGAGTATCCAGCTCCTGCTCCTCACATGGGAGAGCCCTGAGGCACCTGTATACTGGTTTGCAGAGTTCACCAACGTGATCAAGCCCCAGGTGAGTGCAGGGGTGCTGTACCTGATTGCACATACTTTTTGGCTTCCCCGTCTTACTTCTTTATAGTGCTTTCAGTGTTTCCTGGCATTCTGTCCCAAATACACTATTTACACTCAATCATTGCCTAAAATGAATATTTTCTATTTTTTTCTGCTTCCTTGAATTTGACAGAGCTCCTTAATTTCATCCATAATGCATTCCTGAAAACATGTACTAGTTAAATATGTATAATTTGAAAAGGCCTTATATTTTATACATTCTCAGAGAGCCAAATATATGATTTAAAATTTCTCATGACACTAGCCTTTAGTCACAAATTTCCAAGACACATTTTAAACATATTATATCTAATTATTAATTTTTAAACTTAGGCTTTTGCACCATTTTTTGCATGAGCTGACCATGTTTGTCCAAATGACTGATGGATTTTAAAGACTCATCTCATTAGACACACAATAGTTTCCATCCTTGTCTGAATTTGATTATGTTATATTTGTGCTACTTTTGACTGATAACTTCATTTTTATTTTTTTCTCTTTCTACTTTTTCAATAAATCAGGTCAAAATGAAATTAAGTTTTCAAATAACTGGAAAAAACTGTTCTTCAGATAAAGGCAACAGTGCTGTTGCTAAAATGTACATTTGGCAAACAAGCAATTTTACCTTGAAATACTTCAATGTCTTTATTCATCAGATGAAGAATGAAAGCCATAATTGACTGGAGAAAGATATTTCAGAGCTAACAATGTATAAGTTTTCTAAGGAATTCCATGCATACAAAGAAAGTTTTTAAAAAAGTAATTAAAAACTGTCTGGTAGCTGTGTTCTCTGCCTCCTCCAGGTGTCCCTATAGTTTTGAACTGCAGTAGCTCAATTCTAGTGATTTTCCTTGCTCTGCTTATTCTTGCAGAATGAGACAATTACTTACCCAGCATTTATTTATGGCAGTGGTTCACAGCCATCACTGCACAATAAAATCCAGGGTGCTTTAAAGACAGTAGGGAGATCTGGGTCCCTTCTCCAGCAATTCTGATTTAATTGATCTCAGGAGTGGCCTGCTCACTGGGAATTTTGAAGTTTCCCAAGTGATTTTAATGTGCAGCCAAAACTGAGAACCATATAAAGCATCAGGGAGGAGTTCAGATGGATTCTGCTGGACTTTGGTATTTCCTTGTTTGAATGTTTTCCCTAAGGAAAACAAAAATGACGTGTAACAGTATAGTCCTAGTGGGGGTTCTGTTCCTCTTCTGAAGCACGTCTTAGTCTTGTGCTTTATTTAGAAGGAGAGCATTGCATGTTCTCAGTTCTTTGTGAGATGGCCAGGTGCTCACTTGCTATCACTTTGTCTTCCAGGTTGTCCCTGTACCCCTAGTTCATTGTTCGGTGCTGCCATCCTGGGTACAAATGGACTAGAGGATTCCTAGTGTCACTGCTGTACCGCAAGAGTTGAGCTGGAATCTGGACAGACTCCAAACTTCCTTCTCTCCTCAAGCTCATCAATTCCTCTCTCTCTCTTTCTCTCTGCACCTCATTATTATAAGACAGCTCTCATAGACAGCAGGGTAGAAGAGTTTTGCCAGGCTCATGTCCACTAACTCTTTGATTATTTAAGGCAGAAGTGTTCCCAGGCTTTTGTTTTTGAAGAAGATAAAGGCAGCCTTACCATTTGAGAGGTCCCTTTCTGTGTCTTTTTGTATATAGCAAGCATGGTGTTATTACCAGGTTCAAATGTTTACTTGGGATTGTTTTAGAGAGCTCATAGAGATTACCCTTATGGCTTTGGGTAAGATTGCAGATCTTCTTTCAATTTCATCTGATCATAATTTTCTAGTCAATATAATTTTTTTGGTACATGGCTCCCAAGATTTCCTCATTAGTAATGCAATGAAGTTTCTTTATTTTCACCTTATATTGTTCATTTCAATCGTGACCTAAGAGTTGTGAAATAACTGTGGCTGTTCTTTTACATTCTGTGAAAGATGTAATTAGTAACCTCTGATGAAGCATATTGGGTGGTCAGAGTACTCTCCTAGGGCATAGTACTCTGTCAATGAAGCCAATGGCCTTGGGTTCATCCTGAGAGAATAGACTGTTCTAAGATCAGAGTAGCTGCCAACTGATCATATACATGTACAGTGTGAGAGATAGAACTTTCACTCCCACCTACTGCCATCTGGGTGACCCAAGTTATTTCATGTAGCTGCCACTGCCCTTTCTACCATCAAAAAGCATCGGGCTAAGCAAGCAAGGACAATAATAATTCATTTGATAAGCACAGTTTAGTGGTATATGGACAAGCACCTGACATAAGTTGGACCAATCAGAAACCTCCCCAAGACATTAACAGAGAGGCAGAGCCTTAATCCTAGTCTCTCCAGTGATGAAACTTGGACACCTCAGATACAGGATGAATCAGTGATCTTACTGCTTGATGTGTGGATGAATCCTTTAGACAAACTGATGCTGTCAAGCCTAGTGAGAAGGAATGGAACTCAGAGAGTGTCCTGGGCATGTTCAAGTTTTTGAGGCCCAGCCATCCAGTAGAATCTTAATTTCCATCTTCCTTAATTAAAACCAGGAAATTCCCCTTTTAACTAAAATGAGTTGGGTTTTTGTCATATCCAAACCAAACAGTCCTGATTAACAACAGCATGAAATTGTAATCAGAAGATTTGAGTTTTAGATTTGGCTCTGATTCTGAGAATTTATAGGCATGCCTATGAAATGACAATAACAACACCAGCACATTAAAGAAAAAAAAAAAAAGAAAATTCCTGTCTTGGTATCTGGCATATAATAACAGAATAGAGTAGCATATAAAATGTGTTAATTATTCCCCTTTTTCTGTCCACTCCTCTCCACCCACCAGCAGCAATGAGATCCCAGAGACATCAATAAAAGTGTCTTTCCTTACTTTTAGTCCTCTATGAAAGCAGCTGGTGCGTATGTTCTATTTGGGGGTTCAATATAGTTTGACTTGAACCAAGCCCCTACACCACTGAAGACAAATCTAAAAGCAACTATTTCTGAGAATTTTCCTTGCCCCAGAATCCTTACATTTCCCTCTCTCTGAACAATGACATGATTTTTCTTAATGTCTGTGATAATATGAATGTCACATGTCTAGGGACTTAACAGATCTGCAGGTGATTAACCTGCTCCTCTTGACTAGCTGTTCGGAACTAGGAAGTAAGCCATGGTAAAATTTTAAAATACCCACAGAAGTCAGACAATGTAACAGTCAACAGAAAAATAAAAGAACATTTCATGTTATTCAATATCAACAATCTCTGTAAACATCTTGAGGAAGCCAAAGCCTTCTATTGATCAGTTTAGTATGTCATTCTACTCCAGAGTAAAATGGTAATAAAATGAACACATTAAGTGTTCGGAGACTGCATCACAATATACTATGTGTGACAGGCCCCTCTGTGCTCAGAATGTTCCACATTTATAAATAAAAATTGTCTTCTTCGCTTCTTAAAATTGTTCTTTGTTATAAAATTATATCTGTGTAATTTTAACTTTCAAATTCTTATCTTGTTCTTATTTGTGCATTTGCCTCCTGCTTCCAGTTTAGGGAGGGTGATATATTTATATCCATACTTTGAGTTCAGAGACAGCAAAGAGAATTGGATAAACACACCAGGGGCTGACAGGGCCATAGAATGTCTCACTCTGTTCCTGTACACTCCTTTTATTACAGAAAGGCAACTTGTCCTTGGAAAAGTATCTGTTTATGTCATATCTTTGGGCACCTCAATGTCTTAATGCCACTCTATTAACAAAGCTCCATCAGATTAAAAAAAAAATCTAAGCCAATGAAAACAACAAGACAGGATTTGGTGTCTCAGAAAACATGGTCAATTAACATGGACCATCATTACTTTGCATATGAATATAAACACCCTGTATATAACCTGTGTTTTTTGATCACTCATTTTTTTAAAGAAAAAGTAGGAGCCTATGGTCAATAGATAATTTTGTTTATTTTCTGTTGACTGATTATTTTTCTCTAAGATAAAACAGTTTATCCCTCTGAGCTTATGTACCTACCTTTCATAAAATAGGAATACTAATAATACATAACCAATAGTTAGTTTAAGGTTAAAATTACATAATGTATGTGAAATGAAATACAAAGCATTTTTTCAAATATTATACATTAGAATCGAATCAACTCAGGAAAAATTTACAGAGGGCTCATTGATATTGTCTTCTGGAACAATAGCCCTGACAAGACAAGTGTCAAAGTGCTTCTTCTTAGGGGGAGAAATGGGAAGTTAAACCACATAATTAGACATCTATGTGTTGTTTGTTTTGTTTTTTCCATCACTCTAAGTCTTATTTTCCAGTAATGTTTGAATGACCTAAGTAAGACCAGCTCTCTATTTCTAATGGAAGACAGGTATTCAGATGACTGCAGTAAAATCACCTACTCATCCCTCTGCATTTTAAGACTGTGACAGAGCTGTTGCTCATAATGATCCCATAATCAAGAAGAAATGCCCTGTGTATCCATCAAATGGAATTCTTACTTGGCATGGAATTAAACCAAGGGAGCTCTTGAGACTTTTAAGTAACCATTTTCAAATTTATTGCATGCAGGCTTGACAGTCTGCAATATGGGATAGTAGAAAGTCAGAGTGATGCTTCCACAACCCAAATACTAAGCATGCTATTTATCTGTTCTGTGCTTGAAGTGACTCCCCATGTAGGCCCTGATTCTTCTGAATGATATCCGCAACCTTTTTATGTGGCTTCATTCTCTCCCCTCTCATGCCTTTGTTTCTACACACCTTCACTCCAGACTGGCCACTACAAATTTCAGTGATCCTCAGAGTCTAGGTGGTGTGTGGAAAAAGAGATTGGTTTTTGTGTGTGTGCCACATAAGCCTGTATTTTAATATCTCTAAAACTACATTTTCCCAGTAGAAAGTGACTAAGTGCTGATGACAGAGCCTGTGAGGGCTGTATATTCTGTTTCAATGTGAAAAAAATCTCTTAAGAGAGTTAAGATTAGATTGGGCACCTATTTTGATTTTCTTTTGCCATGTGGCTGTCAGCAAGGTCATTTGGGCTGCTCTAGCTTCCAGTGAAAAGTAACTCTCCATCAGGCAGATGTCATTGACTTCATGATCCTTTCTTATGCCATAATTTTAACTATCATCATGCAGCAAAAGCAAGGGATTTGGATGTTTAACCATTTCATACCAAACCAAGCCAGGTAGTCATTTGTAAAACGTGAAAAGCTACGAGAGTGGCAGGATATGATTCAGAAAAACATAAATCTTTGGTTAATGTTTTGAAGGATGCCATACACTTGAAAACTGTATTAATTCACTATAGACTCACTCAAATTTTTATTTCCAGTGATGAAAAAATAGCAGAGAATACTATACATAAAATCAACATTTCACAAAGTGAATAAATGTATTTCATTATGAATGGAAATAACTCAGTAAATTCAGAAATGGTTATGGAAAAGATTGTTGCTTATACTGTGGTCATCTTACATTTTTTAACAGAGATGTTTTAGTCTGGGGTAAAGATGTGTTCCTAACTAAAGTATGAGATTAGCAACAATTGCCTCATAGGGCTACTGATGTTCCGATCAATTCTAAATCTAGAATATATAGATATTTTATAATTCTATGGAATATAATGACTATGTTAGCAGCTTTCATACCACATACTTGTATTTGTTTCAAATTATTTCTCTCTAAAAGAACGTTTAAATCAATGTATAGTTGAAGCTGAGTCCTATAAAACATATTTGGTGGGCCTTACACTGATGAGAATAAAAATGTCAAAATTTCATCAAAGCTCTAAATTTAAATGGTTCAATGCCTTTCTGCTTGATTAGCAAGAAATCTATTCTTAAAACTACCCAACTACGAAAATAAATGATGAGAGAAGAAGTGAGGAACAAACGACATACAAAACAACCAGAAAACAATCAATAAAATGACAAGAGTAAGTCCTCACCTATCAATAATAATCCTTGAATGTAAATGGATTAAATTCCCCATTTAAAATGTATGGACTGGTTAAATGGATTAAAAAACAAACAAACAAAAAAACAACTATATGCTGCCTACAAGGAACTCACCTCTCCCATAAAAGTATGTAGACTGAAAGTGATGGCATTCAAACAGAAACAAAAGTGAGCAAGAGCAGCTATACTTATATCAGACAAAATGCACTTCAAGTCAAAAACTATATGAGGAGACAAGAACATTATATGATAATAAATGAATCAATTCAGCAAGAGAATATAACAATTGTATATATATGTATCCAATACCAGAGTAGCCAGATCTATAAAGCAAATATTATTAGATATGAAGGAAGAGATGGACCCCAATACAATAATAGTTTGATACTTCAACACTCCACTTTCAGCATTGGAAAGGTCATCAGGACAGAAAATCAACAAAGAAACATTGGATTTCAACTACATCATAGACAAAACACAGCTAACAGACTTGTATAGAACAATTTGTCAAATAGCTGCAGAAAGTACACATAATTTTTTCATCAATACATGGAAAATTCTCCAGGATCATTCATATATTGGAACACAAAACAAGCCGCAAAAAACTTTCAAATTTGAAATCACATCAAGTATCTTATCTGACAATAATAGAATAAGACTAGAAATAAATAACCAGAGGAACATTTGAACTATACAAATACATGGAAATTAAGCAACATGCTCCTGTACAACGAATAGGAGAAAGAAGAAATTAAGGAGAAAAGTTAGAAATTTCTTGAAACAAATAAAACAAAAAATACAACATATCAAAACTTATGGGACATAGCAAAAGTAGTATTTAAAGGAAAATGTATAGCAATATATGTCTACATCAAAAATAGAAAAATTTTAAATAAACAAACTGACAATGATCTCAAGGAACTAAAAAAGTAAGAGCAAACCAAACCCCAAATTAGTAGAAGAAAATAAATAATAAAAATCAAAGTGTATCGAATGAAATTAAGACTAAAAAAATACAAAAGGTAAAAAATTTTTAATGATAAATAAAATTGACAAACTATTAATTACACTAAGAAAAAAAGACAAATAAAATTTGAAACCAACAAAAGATTCCACATCAGATACTACAGAAACACAAAGGATCATTAAACTGCTAGCAGAATTTATATGCCAATGAATTTGAAAACCAGGAGGAATCTGATAAATTGTTGGACATATACAAGTGACCAAAATTAAACCAAAAAGATATAGAAAATTTAAACAGGCCAATGAAAAGTAACAAGATTAAATCAGTAATAAAAAGTCTCCCAACAAATAAAAGTCCAGGAGTAGAAGGCTTCAGCAATTCCACAAAACATTAAAGAATAATTAGTACCAATTTTTTCTCACACTATTCCAAAAATATTAAAGCAGAGGGAACTCTTTCTAGCTCATTCTATGAGACCAGCACAACTCTGATACCAAAACCCGACAAGCACACAACGATAAAAAGAAAACTGCAGGGTAATATCCTTGATAAGCAAAGATTTAAAAATCCTTAACAAAATACTAGTAAACCAAATTTAACAATACATCAAAAAGATAATACACCACAATCAAGTGGGATTTGTCCTCGGAATGCAAGGATGATGGACCATAGGCAAATCAATAAAAGCGATATATCACATCAACAGAATGAAGAACAAAAACTATACTATCATCTCAATATGTGCACAAAAAGCATTTTATAAAGTTCAATGTTTTTTTTTTTTTCTTTTTTTTTTTGAGACGGAGTCTCGCTCTGTCGCCCAGGCTGGAGCGCAGTGGCGCGATCTCGGCTCACTGCAAGCTCCACCTCCCAGGTTCATGCCATTTTCCTGCCTCAGCATCCCGAGTAGCTGGGACCACAGGCGCCCGCCACCACAACTGGCTAATTTTTTTGTATTTTTTAGTAGAGACGGGGTTTCACCATGCTAGCCAGGATGGTCTCGATCTCCTGACCTCGTGATCTGCCCGCCTCGGCCTCCCAAAGTGCTGGGATTACAGGCGTGAGCCACCGCGCCCGGCCCAATGTTTCTTTACAATAAAAACTCTCAATAAATTAGGTATAGAAGGAAAGTACCTCAACACAGTAAAGGCCAGATATGGCAAACCCACAGCTAACATCATACAGAACAAGGAGAAACCAAAAGCTTTTCCCCTAAATACTGAAACAAGACAAGGATGCCCACTCTCCTCACTGTTATCCAACATAGTACTAGAAGTCCTGGCCAGAGCAATTAGACAAGGGAAATAAATAAAGCCCATCCGAATTGAAAGGAGGTAGTCAAATTGTTCGTTTCCACGCAACAAGCTCTTACCTAGAGAAAAACCTAAAGACTACCAAAAAACTCAGAACTGCTGAAGTCGGCAAAGTTGCAGTTTACAAAACTAACATACAAAAATCACTAGCCTTTCTATACATGAACAACACACTAGCTGAAAAAGAAATCAAGAAGACAATCCCATTTACAATAGTTACAAAAATAAAATAAAATACCTAGGAACACATTAAATACAGGAGGTAAAAGACATTTACAAGGAAAACTACAAAATACTTAGAAATTGAAAAGGATACACACAAATGGAAAGACATCCCATGCACGTCGATTGGAAGAATCAATGTTGTTAAAATGACCATGCTACTCAAAGCAATCTACAGATTCAATGTAATTCCTATCAAAATCTTAATGACATTCTTCACCTAAATACAAATTAAAAATTATTTAAATATGTATGGAACCATAAGACACCCCACATAGCTAAAGCAATTCTGGCAAAAAAAAAAAAAAAAAAAATCTGGAGGCATCACACTATTAGACTTCAAAATATACTACAATGATGAAGTAGCCAAAATAGTGTGACACTACTGCCAAATAAACCAACGGTGAACAGTGAACCCAGAAATTAATCCACTGTATCTATAGCCAACAGTACCTACAGCTAACTGATTTTTGACAAAGCTGCCAAGAACGCTTATTGGGAAAAAGAGAGTCTCTTCAATAAATGGTGCAGGGAAAACTGGATATTCATATAAGGAAGAATAAAACCGGACCCCGACCTCTCACCCATAAAAACCAGGCCAATGTGGATCAAAGACCTAAATGTAAGATCTGAAACTATAAAACTACTAGAAGAAAACATAGGAGCAAATGCTTCAGAACACTGTTTTGGGAAAAGATTTTATAAATAAGACCTCAAAAGCACAGGCAACATGAAACATAAACTAATGCGATTATATCAAACTAAAAGTTGTGCAGTAAAGGAAACAGTCTGCAGAGTAAAAAGACAACCTACAGAATGGAAGAAAATATTTTTAAACTATTCCTCTGACAGGGAATTTATAACTGGAATATACAAGGAACTCAAATAAACAATCTGATTTAAAAATGGGCAAATAATCTGAACAGACATTTATCAGAAGAAGGCACAAATGCCAACAAATAATATATGAGAAAATGTTCAACATTACTAATCATCAGAGAAATGAAAATCAAAGCCACACTGATGTATCATCTCACCCTGGTTAAGAAGGCTATCTAAAAAAAAAAAAAGCAAATGCTGGTGAAAATGCATAGAAAAGAAAACTCTTATACACTGTTGTTAAAGTAAACTAGTACAGCCACTATGGAACAGTATGGAGGTTCCTCAAAAAATTACAAATAGAGTGCCCAGATGATTCAACAATTCCACTACTGGGAATTTATTCAAAGGAAAGGAAATCATTATATTGAAGAAACATCTGCAGCCCTATGTTTATTGAAGCACTATTCACAATAGCCAAGATAAGAAATAAATCTAGGTTGATTGGATGATGAATGGATTAAAAAACAGATGAATGAATAAAGAAAATGTGGTATACTATTCAGCCATTTAAAAAAAAAGAATGAAATATTGTCTTCTGAGGCAACATGGATGGAACTGGAGGACATTATGTTAAGTGACATAAGCCAGGAATAGAAGGTAAAACACCACATGTTCTCATTCATATGGGGAAGCTAAAAAAATGTTGATTTCACAGAAATAAAAAGTAGAACAGAGGATACTAGAGGCTGGGAAGGGTAGCAGAAATAAGGGGTAGGGAGAAATTTGCTAAAGGATACAAAATTATGTCTAGATAGGAGGAACAAGTTCTAGTATTTTATACCACTATAGTATGACTAGAATTTCTAATATGTTACAGAAGCATGGTATTGAATGTTCAACAAATAAATGATAAATGTTTGAGATGATGGATATGCTAATTAATTATAATGATTTGATCACTATACATTATGTGTATTGAAACATCAGTATATATCCCATAAATATGTGTAATTATTATATTTAATTTTTAAAGTTAAATAAAATAAATGGAAAGAAAAAAAGAAATCCAGGCTTTCCCTGTATCCTGCTCTTTCATTTTTCCCTTTGAGGTAGTGCATGGTGGTGTGGGAAACTGATGCTTGCCTTTTTAGGATTCTCACATATCCTCAAATCCACCATGGGTGGGGATCTCTCTGCTTCCCTAGAACCTGAGGCTTTTCCCACTCTGTGGCTCTGCTGGAGATACAACCCCAGAGTTCTATAATGCTGGCTGTACTCCTTTGGGATGCTGATGCACTCCATCCTCTCTGCCCAGCAGAATAGTTGTTTCTTCTCCATCTTTCCAGGTATTGTTTTTATATGAAACTACTTAGGGACAGTTTCCAACAAAGGGCTATTGAGTGCACAGTGCTCACAGGTATTAAAGAGAAGAGGTAATCATGGTTGGATGTGGGAGCGAGGCTTGGCTGAGCAGAGAATGGTCAGGGAAGCTTCATACTAATCTGAGACTTCATCCTGAGGGATTAAGAGCAGAGGCCACAGAATCAAAAGTCTTGGCTTTAATCCTAATTAACTAGTCTGTAGACTTCAGTACCCAACTTAATCTCATTTTTTTTCCAAAGGAAAATGATAATAATTCAAGTTCCTGCCTGATAGCCTAATCTGGAAGTACTGAGCCTCATTATTAGTTCAAAGTAAGCACCCTCTGAAAGTCAGCTTGACAGAATAGCCTTCAAAAGTCAAGCCCTGTGATGGTGGTATACCTACATTTTAACCATTACTGATCCATCAGTAATCCAGATTTGGTCAACATTTCTTTCTTATAACGGACCAAATATAGCCTTTCATTAACTTTATCCATGAATTCTGCCCTTAATTTCTATGGTATATAAGGGTTTATGCTCTTCCAGTTTGACTTTTTAAAAATCTAATGCTAACTGTCCTTCCTTCTTAAGTTTTCACCCGTCTAGGATAAATTGGCCCAACAATATCAAAATAAGTAAAATCCTGAAACCATGTTGTTCTCTTTCTCCATATACACTCTAGTTTATCAGTAACTTATTAGAGGTTATGGCCCAGAATATTACAACTATGCTTGGAAATACAAAGTTCAACCAAACTTCTCAGAGCACATTGGCTTTTTCAGCACTCCTGGCACACTGATGATGCAAAGTCAGTTTTAACTCACCTAACCTTCTGGAGTTGTTTACATTCTTGTATATCTTGCATTTGTGCACCTAATTTTTTGAATTTACATACTAAATTTATACTCATATTGGTTAAATTGCATTTATTACATTCAGTAGACTCAGCTCCATAATATCAATGTGCTGATAAATTTTGAATCTCTGGTTTGATTATTCAATATTGTATATTTCTCCCACCTTTCAGTTGCCTTCAAATGTTACAAGCATGTCATGCATTTTTATTATGCCATTTATTAAAATGTTATTTCCAGCTTCTGGCTAAATCTGATTAATTACACATGATTATTTGTCTCAGCTCCTTTGTAAAAATCTGTTAAAATGTCAGTTGATGAAGAAAATATATTAATCCATAAGGTAAAGAGAATGAAAGGGGAAAGATGTCGGCAAATTTTTGGAAGATAAACAGTGGATGAAAGAATGGTAGCTGACTCAGAGGGAAGAAAGTGAAAACTGAAATGTTTTGAGAGATAGTTGCCTACAAGAAACAAATTTATACCTGCTGCAGAACCTTAGGAAAGCTCTGTAACTGGAGACATCAGACAATCTGGAAGGCTATGGGCAGGCTAGGGGCTAGAATACAGGAGTATTTTTCTTTCTTTTCTTTTCTCTTTTCTTTTCTTTTCTTTTCTTTTCTTTTCTTTTCTTTTCTTTTCTTTTCTTTTCTTTCTTTCTTTCTTTCTTTTTCTTTCTCTTTTTCTCTCTTTCTTTTTCTTTCTTCTTTCTTTCTTTACTTTCTTTCTCTCTTTCTCTTCTTTCTCTTTTTTTTTTTTTTTTTTTTTTTGAGACAGAGTCTCGCTCTGTCACCCAGGCTGGAGTGCAGTGGTGCCATCTTGACTCACTGCAAACTCCCGCTCCCAGATTCAAGCGATTCTCCTGTCTCAGCCTCCTGAGTAGCTGGGACTATAGGCACGCGCCACCACTCCCGGTTAATGTTTGCATTTTTAATAGAGACAGGGTTTCACCATATTGGTAAGGTTGGTTTCGAACTCCTGACCTCAGGTGATCCACCCACCTCGGCCTCCCAAAGTGCTGGGATTAGAGGCATGAGCTACTGCGCATGGCCAGTAGTATTGTTTTAATTCCACATAAGGGTCAATGTGACTTTCAGATCTTCCTCCTCCTATCATCTATCCTGGTGATTATCTCTCTACCATCCATTGCTCACTGAATTGAATCTTCTGTTTCTCAATATAAACTACAGTGTATCAGTAACATATCGAAGTACGTGACCAAGAAAATTCAAATTCCAAGTCCAGTAAGTGTTCCAAGGAACACTTATTTTGGAGACACGGAATCAGAGTGGTCCTGAATTTGGAAATAGTATGGGCAATTAAGGGTGGAGTTAGGGTGCCATACTGACAGCAGAAAGATACTGTTAAAATTATTAAATCAAATTATTAAAGCATCCCCTACCCACCACCCAAACACCATTTTTTCTCTCAGGTTTAAAATGCTGAAGAGAGATTTCTCTATTCAAGCAGAAAATTAGGAGATTCCTCTACAGAGTACTGACTACCACAAAAGAAAAAGGTTTAGAGACCCCAAAACATAAGGTATCCACAGTGCTTCTCAGTGCCTCACTCTAATATGAATTAACAGTCTAGAATAAAGTATGTATAGAAATCGATGGCATGAAAGACAAGGACCAATAAAAGTTTTTAAAAGAAATAAATGTAACTCAAAGAAAGCAGAAAATACAGTAATAGCATTTTAAGTACATCTATTTTATTTATTACATATCCATATTATCTACAGTGATGTTACAGTGAATCCATAAAATGAGAAAATGCAGAATGTTAGAAAAAAAAACAAGAAAGAGTTCTTGCAAATTTATATATATATTCATATATAGACACAAAATTTTAAATTGCAGTAGAAAGTTTGAAAGTTAAAAAAAAAATCTGTAGAAAGTAGAACAAAAGGACAAAATATGTCTCGCAACTAGCAAGATGTCCACAGAGATAAGAAAAAAAGGAGGGTGGGGATTTTAAATAAATAATAATACAGGATAATTTCCCATTAATAAAAAAAATACCTGAGATTATGGTGAAAGGACTCAAAAACTGTCTAGCTCATTAAATGATTAAATGTAAAAATAGCACATCAAGACATATTATCATGATATTTCAGCATCCTGGGACTAAAGATCTATTCAAGTCCCAGAGTGGGAAAGAAAAGGCAGGTTTCCTAGATCAGTGGTGAGGTTCATGCCACTGAACATCTCTATGTGCTAGATTTTCTGGAACACTTGAAGCAAAAGAATGATAAAGCAACACCGTCAAAATTCCAGGAGAAAATGATTTCCAAGCTAGAATTCAAATTTTTAAAAACTGACTCCCAAAATGAATATAGTCTTTCTCAAAAAACTACCAGAGGATATGCTCTTGCCAATGGAAAGAACAGCCCAAGAAAAGGAACCCGATGCAACTGGCTGATCTAGGCTGGGCTCAGCAGGCTGACTCTGCTGCAAACTATGGACTGGGCTCAGGTTTGCTCCATGTGTATTCACTCTGAAGCTCAGGGTGAAGGAGAAGACTGCCAGGGGAAATTCTTTTCATGCTTGGACACCATAGTGTAAGAGAAATAGCGCCATCATGCAAACAAGATTCAAGCCTCTAGTTATGCCAAGCCCATAACATACCATTGATCCAGTGGTTCTAAACAAGGTAAATTTTATCCTTTGCCCCAGAGGATATTTGGCAATGTCTGGAGATATTTTTGGTTGCCTCAACTCGGAGGGAGGCAGGGGTGCTACTGGTAACTAGTGGGTAGAAGTTAGAGGTGATGCTAAATATCAGTCTTCCACAGCAAAGAATTATCTAACCCCAAATTCAGCTTAGTGCTGAGACTGAGGAACCCTTTATTAACCTTATCAAGTCCTATACACAAGTAAAATGTCAAGGGGTGAAAAAACACTGACCAAGAGGCTAGGGTAAGGACATAAATGTATAACACAGCCTCAAGAAAGTGAAGAATTGGGCAAATGACTTGATATGCTGTATCAGTGATAATAATGTGGACAAATAATGTGGACAAATTTTTCCTAGGAAGTGGGTGAGTGGGTGTGGCCTGTATTTCCTAGAAAGGAAAATAGTGCTTAATACTGCATTTTATTTATTCCAAGATGCATATTTCTTTTCACATTCTTACATCTCTGAAGTAACAAAACATCTTAAGATCAATGTGATAAGAAAGTATTGCATTATATTTTCATTGACATATTAAAGATTTTCAGTAGAACATGAAATAATGGTGTCTCTTATTACTGATGATGTGTAGATTTAATGAAACACATTAAATGCTTATCATATACTTGCCCTGTGATAGGAGGCAAATTCAAAGTACTGTTGGAGGTAGAAATAACTGTATTTTGCAGATACAACTAAGGCTCAGAGCCCCACCACCACCGAATCTCTATGCCTAAACAACAGCCTGCCCTTTCACACAGCTTGTAAGAGACAGAATAATAATACAGACATTGATCTTTCAGCCATAGAGCTACATTTAATAGCAACTGGGGACACTAGAGCACAGTGGTAAACAATATGACTTTTGGCTTCTGAGGTTAAGGGGAACAATGAATGAAAACACAGAATGATATTTGACATATAATATATACACAATAAATATTTATTGTCAACAATATATGCCTGGCACTTTGATAATTGTTTCATATGTGTTATTTCATTTAAATCTCCATATATTCTATGATATGAATCATTTATGTTTTTCAAAGATGGCACCGAGATAGCTAGAGATTAAATAACCCAAAATGACACAGCTGAAAGTGATGTCTTGGGGAGTAGGGTGGTCGGAAGTGGGATTTGAAAATCACATCTGTGATTTTAGTGACTGTGCACTCCTCCCCTTCCTTTTCTTTTTGTTATTATATTTCCCCTTTGAGCCACTCATCATGCATAACTAATACAGGGGAACTATTCTTCCACTTTTACATATAAGGAAAACAGCTCTATCAATGGTTTCTTGAATAGATTCCTTCATTCACTTATGTAGAAGACAAAAAAGGAGATGACAGTGGGCCAAAGAAAGAAAACAATTGATGGTGTCCTTTCTAAGTGTTGTAACGTAGAAAAAATATTGATGAAAACAATGATAGACTGGATTAAGAAAATGTGGCTCGTATATACCAATGGAATACTATGCAGCCATAAAAAATCATGTCCTTTGTAGGGACATGGATGAAGCTGGAAACCATCATTCTCAGCAAACTATTGCAAGGACAAGAAACCAAACACAGCATGTTCTCACTAATAGGTGGCAACTGAATGATGACAACACTAGGACACAGGAAGGGGAACATCACACACTGGGGCCTGTCATGGGGTGGGGGGAGGGGGGAGGGATAGCATTAGGAGATATACCTAATGTAAATGACGAGTTAATGGGTGCAGCAAACCAACATGGCTCATGTATACATATGTAACAAACCTGCACGTTGTGCACATGTACCCTAGAACTTAAAGTATAATAAAAAATATATAAAAAAATAAAATAATACGCATCTAATTCTTTCTCGTTCAGCTTCTTAGTGAAATGCTCAAAGTGAACTTTCAAAGTATCTATTTAAGCAAACCATGAGACAGCTTAGAAAGTATATTCAGTCTAAGAAAAATGTTAACTGAGCATAGCATTACATTGGCTAGTCCTCAACATTAATTTAGTACTAGATAATTGTGCAACATTGACTAGATAATAATGTTCACTGTTCCATCAATATAAAGTGAAGAATTTCACTTATTTTCTAGCTTTGACTTTCAGTGTTTGGTAGGTGAACAACTCTGTAGAGGAGCTGTACTTTTTATGTGATTTGATATATCTCACTAGGCACACTGATAGTAATTGCAGCATTTTTCAGTTCATTAATATATTGTCAAAAGTTAAACCTATGACTTCATAAAATTGAAACAATAAGCTCAGTTAATTATTAGGTGAACAACATTGAAGTCATAGAATCTCTATTTGGTTTTCTCACCTACAAATTGAGGACACTGGTTTCTGTACTTCTAAGTCTTACATTATATAGAATAATACCTACAAAGTGGCTTATCACTTTTGCACAGAAAACATACTTGATAAATGCTACTAAGATATATCTCACATGATTTGGACCCCTGGCAACTATGAACTAAATTTAGCAGTCTGATATTTTCATTTACTTGTAAGGCTTGGGCTTAATGCACATTTTCTTTAACGTATATAAACACAGTAGGCTAATCATTGCAACTCTTTTAGAGTTCAGAAACACATTCATAGAGTAATAGTGGAGTCAGCATTTGCAAAGGGAGGTTGAAAAAATCTCGTGAAATATTTAAAGAAGACAAATGAGTAACACTTTAGCTGGCTTCAATATTTATTCCTCTAGAGCAAAACTTACATCAAACCTCCCATTAAAATTTCCTGTGAGCATCTTATATATTTGTTAATATGAAAATACAATATTTCCTCATACTCTAAATAGTCATGAATATAAATACATATTATTATAAATAGACCGTGGAAATTGACTGCATTTGTAAAGGGGAAAAATCATGTAACAATAAACTCCTATTACTATGGCTGTGGAGGGAAGAAAATCCTATGTTACTATGGTAAAAGAGCAAAATTATATTTAGTGATGAAAGATAAAAGAAGTCATGAGGGAAGCTGCCTCTTTCCTCTCATGATGGATGTTCCAGCCGTATCTTATATTTGTGTGTTTGCAAGATCAAATTTACTTTTAGCACATTTCTGTTTCTGAGTTAACATTTTAAGATTGACTGTGACTTGGATCATCTGCCTTTCCAACTAGCTCTGGGGTGTGCAAGTGCATACCAATGAAAACTGACAATTCATTTCAGTTAGGCCCAGGGCCATGGCAGCAACAGTCCAGCGCCATCACAGGAAGTGGCTGTCCTCTCTTGGGATCATTCCCTCTGTCAGTTGGCCACTGAGTTACCATTAGTACAATGCACAGAGTCCTGGCATTGTGGAGAGTGAGAGGAAAACATGGCTGGCACCATATTGTGATTATTGTAATATAGCCTCAGTTCTTAAGAATACAACTTTTTATTGGTTTATCTTTGTATATTGAACCAGTGCAGTGTGCCAACTTAAGAAGGATGCTCCTAATGATTAAATGATGCACTCAGAAATACTTGTTCTTCAGGGCTTTCTTTCAAATTTCAGAGGACATGGTAATGTCATGGTATCCTAATTTTGGCCATGTAATTATATCAAGCTTTCAAGACAGGCCCAGAGATAGTGTCATTGAATACAGAGAAAGAGTCATAAATTAAGAGAAAAAAAAACTCGGTTTTAGTTTTGACTGTGTGCCTCAGGACCACAAAGCTCTTTAAATTACTTAACCTCTTGAGATTTCCAAAATTTGGTTGATGCAGTGACTATCCGTCCTGGGTGCACATTACAATCACCATAGAAGTCTGTAAAAAATGCTACTGCATGGCCACTCCCAAGCCATTTGGTGAGAATCCTGTGGGGAAAGCTTGAGTGTCTAAATTCTTTGAACACCCCCCAGGGGGTTCTAATGGAAATGACGATTATTACCACTGTGCTACCTGACTCTTAAGAGCCTTTTCATGCTACTCAGTGTGTGTGTGTTTGTGTATGTACGTGTGTGTGTGTGTTGGGGAGGATTTAGCCTGTCTTCGTTCTTTTATGTTTTTCTACCAGTTCTTTTATTTTATTCTTTTCTTTTTCTTCTTATCTGACTTACTCAGCAACCAGAAAGAAATAAAAGTATTTTATCCCAAAGTATATTTCTTTGACATATTTTGAGATGGTTGTCAGAGAAACAGCAACAGATGTAGTCCTGAAAATCTGTCTTTTGTGGAGGAAATTAGCATCTATAGAGAATCTCCACGATACAGCCAGGCCTTCCCTTCTCTGGTTCTAGGAAAGATGAACTGAGAGTCTGACATCTCTAAACATCTGAAAGAAACATGTATCATTTATTCTTTCTGCGGGCTGCTACCAGCGAGGTTTCACTGACCTATCGAGAGCACCTTTGCTAGTCAAGTTTTCTCTCCCTCCCTTAACCTATTTGCCACTATAACCTAATTTGACACCATCACCTGTGACATGGTTTGGATGTTTATCCCCTCCAGATCTCATGTTGGAAAGTGATCCCCAGCTGGGCACGGTGGCTCACACCTGTAATTCCAGCACTTTGGGATGCCAAGGCAGGTGGATCACCTGAGGTCAGGAGTTCAGGACCGGCCTGGCCAACATGGTGAAACCTCATTTCTACTAAAAATACAAAAATTAGCTGGGCATGGTGGCACATGCCACTTTCCCAGCTACTCAGAAGGCTGAGGCAGGAGAATCCCTTGAACCCAGGAGGTGGAGGTTGCAATGAGCCAAGATCGTGCTGCTGCACTCCAGCCTGGGCGATGGAGTGATAGAGAGAGATTCTGTCTCAAAACAAAGAGAGGAAGGGAAGGGAAGGGAGGGGAGGGGAGGGGAGAGGAGGGGGAGAAGGGTGGGGGAGGGGAGGGGGGAGGGAAGGGGAGGGGAGGGGAACGGAGGGGAAGGGAAGGGAAGGGAAGGGAAAGAAAAGAGATCCCCAATGTTGGACATGGAGCCTGGTGAGAGGTATTTGGATTATAGAAGTGGATCCCTCATGAATGGCTTGGCATCATTCTTACAGAAGTGAGTGAGTGCTCCCTATCAGAACCCATGAGAACTGATTATTTGAAAGTTCCCTAACTCCCTCCTCCCTTGCTCTTGATTTCTCTCTCTTGTTATGTGAGGCCTGCTACCCTTTGCCTTCCATCATAATTGGAAGCTTTCTGAGGTCCTCACAGAAGCAGATGCTGGTGAAATCACCCATACAAAATAATAACAATGAGAGAAATCTAACATAACTGACTCCATCTTGCTTCTAACCTCATAAGATAACTGTCATTACCTATTCTTGAACTTAGGCCAGGCTAACTATGGAAGGAAAATAGCTTATAGTTTAGCCTTACAACAAGAATAGTAGTCCCTTCGCCAAACTAACCCTCTCCTTGTTCAGGGACTAAAACTGCCTTTGTAAAACTAATGCAAAGCCACATGGTTACAACAACGGTAGAAACCTAAATTCTCTTGAGATATAGGCATAGTTAAGTAGTGACCAGCCATTGTTCCCTAAACTGCCTATCTAAAATTGCTTACCACCTAGGAGTAATGTAGCCAGTGGTCATGAGATTTGTAACTTCCCCATTTGCTCTTATAGATAATATTGTTATTGTGAAACTGAAGACTGATGTTTGAGACATTTTTAAAATGTTGTATTCTTGTGGACCAACTAACACTACTTGGACCAGTGACCCATACCTGGAAACTAACTCAACTTGTCCTCTGACCCCCATTCCAGTACTGACTCAGCACATGAAGACAATTTTGACACCACTGTGATTTCATCCCTGACCCAACCAATCAGCAATGTTCCTTACTTAGTCCCCTCTCTGCCAAACAATCCTTAAAAACCCTAGCCTCCAAATTCTTGGAGAGGTGAATTTGAGAAATATCTCCTATCCTCCTTGCTTGGCTTCCTTCCAATTAGTAAACACTTTCTTTGCTGCAATACCTGCTCTCTGAGTGAACTGGCTTTTTCTATGCAGTGGGCAAGAACCCATTGGTCAGTGATGTAGTTGAGATGTTTGTTTTCTCCAAATCTCATGTTGAAATGTGGTCTCCAATGTTTGAGGAGGGACCTAGTTGGAGGTGTTTGGGTCATAGGGTGCATCCTTCTTGAATGGCTTGGTGCCCTCCTTTTGGTAATGATTTCACACAAGATCTGGTTGTTAAAAAGAGCCTGGCACCTCCTACTCTTTTCTTTGCTTTGTCTCTAACCATGTGACATTCCTCGTCCCCCTTTCACCTCCTTTCATGAGTGAAAACTTCCTGAGGCCTCACCAGAAGCTTAAGGGATGCTGGTGCCACACTTGTACAGACTGCATAACAATAAAACAAATAAGCCTCTTGTCTTTGTAAACTACCAAGTCTCAGATATTCCTTTATAGCAGTACAAAATTAACTAATACAAAAAATAGTACCAGGAGTAGGGTGTTGCTATGAAGACACCTGAAACTGTAAAAGTGGCTTTGGAACTGGGAAAAGGGCAGATGTTGGAAGAGTTTGGAGGGCTCAGAAGAAGAGAGGAAAATGAAAGAAAGTTTGAAACATCTTAAATACTGGTTAAATGGCTGTGACCTAATGCTGAATAGAAATAGGAACAGTAAAGGCCAAACTAATAAGGTCTCAGATGAAAATGAGGAAGTCATTGAAAACTGGAGCAAAGGTCACCTTTATTATACTCTAGCAAAGTACTTGGCTACATTGTGTTCATGCCCTAAGGATTTGCAGAAGATTGAGCTTAAGAGTAATAACATAGGATATCTGGAAGAAGAAATTTAAGAAATAACTTAAAGTTGGAACTTGTAATTAAAAGATAAGCAGAACATAAAAAATTAATTAATCCACAACCTGGCTTGTGGTAGAAAAGGAAAGAGTATTTTCAGATGAAGAATTCAGGGGGCCTACAGAGCAACCACTTGCTAAAAAGATTAGCATGACTAAAAGGGAGCCAAGTGCTAATATTCAAGATGATAGAAAACAGGTCTTAAAGACATTTCATAAATCCTTCTGACAGCCTATTGTATCATAGGCTGAGAAGTCTAAGAGGAAAGAATTGTTTCTGGGGCCAAGCCCAGAATGCAACTCCCCAGTGCTACCTCTGGACACTATTCCCTGCATCCTGGCTGCTCTGGCTCCAGCTGGGGTTCTAATAGCCCCAGGTGCAACTCAGGCTGCTGCTTGAGAGAGCAAAAGCCATAATCCTTGGGAGCTTCTGTGTAGTGTTAAGTCTGCAGGTATGCAGAATGCAAGAGTGAAAGAAGTTGGCAGCTTCCATTTGAACTTCAGGGCATGTACTGAAAAGCCCGGATACTTAGTGAGCCTCTACTAGGGCAGTGCCAAGGAGAAATGTGGATTAGGAGCCCCCATAGAGAGTCCCCACTGGAGCACTCCCTAGTGGATCTGTGGGAACGGGGCTGCTGCCTTCCAGACCCAGAATGGTAGAACCATAGTCAGCATGCTCATGCAGCCTGGAAAAACTGCATGCACCAGAGTCCAACCTGTGAGAGCAGCCACAGGAGCTGCATTCAACAAACCTATGGGAGTGGAGCTGCCCAAGGCCGTGAGAGCTCACACCTCATACCAGTGTGCCCTGAATGTCAGACATGGAGTCAAAAATTGTTTTAGAGATTTAAGGTTTAATGTTTTTATTTCTGGGTTTCAGATTTGTGTGGAGCTTGTTGGCCCTCGCTTTTGACTAATTTCTCCCTTTTGGAATGAGAATGTTTACCTAATGCCTGTACTATCATTGTATCTTGGAGGTAAATAACTTGTTTCTGATATTACAGGCTCATAGGTGAAAGAAGCTTGCCTTGAGTCTCAGATGAAACTTTGGACTTTGAGTTTTTGAGTCGATTCTGGAAAAAGATAGGACATTTGGGGACTACTGAAAAGGAATGATTGTGTTTTGCAATGCAAGAAAGATATGAGATTAGAGGAACGGGTGAAATAATATAGTTTGGATGTTTGTTCCCTCCAAATCTCATGGGAAATGTGATCCTTAATGTTGGAGGTGGTACCTAGTGGGAGGTGTTTGCATCATGGGGGCAGATCCCTCTCAGATGGCATGGTGCCCTCCTTGCAGTAATGAATTCATATAAGATCTGGCTGATAAGTCGAGCCTAGATCCTCCTCCTCCTCCCTCCTCCCTCCTCCTCCTCTTCCTCCTCCTCCTCTTCTTCTTCCTCCTCTTCTTCTTCTTCTTTTCTTCTTCCTCCTCCTTCTTCTTCCTCTTTTCTCTCTCTCTTGCTTCCTCTCTCACCACGTGACACACCTGCTCCCCCTTCACTTTCCTTCATGAACAAAAGTTTCCTGAGGCTTCATCAGAAGCTGAGAAGATGGTGGTGCCATGCTTGTACAGCTTGCAGAGCCATGAGGTAGACAAACCTCTTTTCATATGCATTATTCAGTCTCAGGTATTTCTTTATAGCAACACAAATGAACAAATACAGTCTGTAACACTGGCACCATGCTTCTTGTACAGCCTGCAGGACCATGAGCCAAGTGAACCTTTTTTCTTTATAAGTTACTCAGCCTCAGGTATTTCTTTTTAGCAGCACAAAACATACTAAGACAACCTATTCTTGGCCATGCGCTGAACCTTGGTTTACTCTGTTAACCTCAAGATAGTAGAAAAGCTTCTGCATCATCTTAGGGGGTGGGCTGCCACTCTGCGGTTCTCCCCATATACACTGTAGTAATTTAGTATGCCTTTTAAGCAATTAATCTGACCTTTGTGAGTTGATTTTTCAGCAAACTTTTAGAGGGCAAAGAGGAAGTTTTCCCTTGTCCCCTACAAACCCAAATTCTAACGTTGTAAGCCCATTTTCACGATGGGTGGCAATATTAACTCGAATGTGCTGTAAACTCAGGTAAAGCTTTAAAGTTGATATTTTCTTCATATGAAGGCATACAGCAGAGCTGAGTTCAGTCTAAGAGAAATCATAGTTACGTGGAAACTGGGAAGAAATAGCCATGGTTGTCTTTTGGGTGCTTTCTGAGTCTTCTGATAGATGAATTTCTTGGGGAGAAGAAAAAGGTACGTATTTGATAGAATAGCTATTTCTTACTGAAAATTCTTTCTTCTATTTAAAAAATCTCTACTCCTTAAAATGAATTATTTTGGTTATACTGCACTGCTTATGAACTGTGCTTGTGAAGAGCACAAGCCCCACACAAGAGAGATTTCTCAATTTCTCTGACTAAAGAAATTCTGCAGCACATACCATTTTGTATTCCAATGGTGAGAGTCTGAGTTGACAGTCTGGATTAATTCAGCTTTCAGCATCCATCTCAGGAGATTAGCAAATTGTAGGGAAGCTGTGATTGGTGGATAAAACATTGCTATCTGATGTGCTCAAATTGACACCTGGTGGATAGATTCTTTTTCTGTGTCATTGCTTATAAAATTCTTGTAGATAAAAACTCTAATAGAGAACTCGCTTTATTATTTATTTTTGCTTGACTATACCAAATTTACTGCAGCCAGTCATCATCTACTTCATTTACTTCTTTACAGCTCAGAATGAATAACCCAAAATTAATCAACTGATTACAAATTCCTTAATTCTATGCAGCCCATTTCTCATTCTTCTCAGTTCTTTTAACAAGAATTAAGAATTAGACTCATGGGTCTATGCTGTCAGTACTGGCTAGGTGTTAAGTAGAGAGAAACCTACATTGCTTCTATGCCTCTGGGGAGTTTCCAGGGAGGACAAAGTTACATTCATTAAATATCTGAATTACTTGGAAGGTGAATAGGATTCTTTCTGGCCTCCCCCTTGAGAAGTTCACATTTTTATTGCCTAAATTTCTCTTCAGTGGTTCTTTGAGGAATCAGAAAAAAAATCCAATATATCAACCCTCTCTTTGGGTTCTGTAATCACACAGAGCATAAGGTAATTAACTCATTTATTCATTCATTCAAGGAATATTAATGAGCACCTACCATATGTTAGGCACTGTCACATGTTTGGAGGATAAGAAATAAACATAACACTTTGATTCTGGGATTCTGCTGGTAGAGAGAGGTCAAGTGGTGCTGAGTACAATGAACTAAAATAAAGTAGGTGATGGTGAAAAGAAGAAAAGTGCTGTTTCCTGTGTACAGTAGTCAGGGAATTCCTCTCTGATGCAGTGACCTTTGAGGAGTACTTGAAAGAAACAAAGAGATAACTTAAACTGGTATCTGGGGGAAGTTTCAAAGCAGTGGTAATAGAGAGTGCAAAGGCCCTGAGGCAGGAGGGTCCTTGTATGTTTGTTTAGAGAACATCAGTAAAGTTGATGTGGCTGGAACTGAATGATGAAGAACCAGGTTTGCAGCAGAGAAGGTCAGATGGTCAATAAGGGATGGGTCCCTTAGAGCCCCGTAGGCCTTGGTGAGAACTTTGTCTTTCATTCTGAAAGCTCTTAGAGGTTACTGAACAGACTTCATGCCTGTTTTCAAAATATCATTGTGGTTTCTGAGATGAAAATCAGCTTTGTAGGCAAACTTTCGGCAGGGAAACCAGTGTGCAGGCTTCTGACATAGTTCAGGTATGAGAAGATAATGGCCTGGCTTGGGAAAGTGTGATGGAGGCTGTATGAGGTGGTCACAATCTGGCTCATTTTGAAGTCAGAACTAAGAGAATTCATTGACAGTTTTGGTTTGGCATGAGACAAGAGAAGTCAAGGATGGTTCTCAGTTTTTTCTATAGATCACTGCCTTGAGCTATGTTTTGAAACTATTTCAGGCTTAAGAATGGATGAGAATAGGATTCAAATTCTTCTACTAACTGATGTTCATAAATGTTATGAGTCTCAGTTTCTTCCAAGGTATGTTAATAATAATTATATCTAGTACATTAGTGTACCTTCAGGGTTGAAATTAAGTAATAACCATAACTATGTTACTCTATTATTACATCTTAATTTTCACAACAACTTTGTGAGAGAAGCGATCATGTTATCCCATTCATATGGATCAATAAGCTAATACATGATGATATTACAGAATTTGCTCAAGGTCACACAGAGCTGGATTTGGAACTGAAAATTAAGTAAGTCTGTTTGACATCAGAACCCAAGTCCCCAAACACCATGTTAACAACCACAAAACAATAATGGTACTAATAATATAAATAGCAAACATCAGACAACATGCTATGCTTTTTGTTTAATACCTCACATACATTATATTATTCTTTTTAATTTTTAAAACTTCCTAGCAGGTATTATCTTTATTTTAGAAATTAGGAAGTAAAGGCTCAGAGAGGTTAAGTATCATGTCCCTGCCACAGAGGCAAGCAGCCAGCACACCTCGAAGCCTGGTTTAAAATTTGGGTCAACATCACACACAGCCGTCTGATTGACTAATGCCCAAGGTGCCTCTCTACACCAAGGAATTCAGTGTGTAAGGTTGTACTCCTCTGGCAGATGTGGGGTGGGGCAAGGGTAGTGAGTAGGGCTGAATCTAGAGCTTCTTATGAGAGCCCCTAGATCTCTGAGGAACAGCATGTGCCTGCACATCTAAGATGCCAGAGCAATAAGCAAGAACTGACCAGTTTCACTCTCTGGCACATTTCTCTGAAGTTAATATTGCAAGATGTTAGTCTGCTTCTTCCTCCATAAACAGAATTTATTGCATTTTTTATTGCTTTCATTTTTCAGAGATGATGAAGTATTTATCAGAAGGCACGCTTTTGCAATTCATAAATGCTCTTCTTTCACCAGCAAATTCAATCATTTCATGTTAAAAGGGAAAAAAAAAAAGAGTACGAGTAAAAATCTAGCTATTTTTGGGAGTCTTTTTCCCCCCTCAGAGAAATGAGGGCAAAAAAATACATCAGCTATTTCGAAGACAAAATCTGAGTGCAGTTTGGAGGATTATAAAGAAGAAAAATGTAATTTCTTATCAAATAACAGTGATAGATTGGTTTTGTTTTGTTTAAACTTCAGTGGTTAAGAAGTCCCAATATAAACCAAATGGAATGCTTTTTCAGGGATCTTGCAGTTTATTTTTGTCAAAATTTGGTCAAAAATATCAAAGAAATTAAATCAGTCCTTTGTAAGCTCACTTATAGAAAAACAGATATTAGGCGGTTCCAGAGATAGCAGTGGGCCGAATTCCTCTTTATAACTGCCCTTGGTAATATAAGTTGGAGAAATCCATTGGCTTTCATGGTGAAATCTAGGACACTATGGGCTACAGGGCTATTTATGTACCTTCTGCAGCACTGTGGAAAAGGCTACAAAGAAAACAGGCAGTATGCCTAATGGCAGTCAAATTATGGTATCTTGATTTTTAGAAAATTAAGGTTGCAAACAGTTTTTGAACACCCTGAGTGTGCCTCAATGTGTGACACATGGCTAAACATTCACATATGCTAACTAGTCCTTACAACCTCTACCTGAGCAAGATAGGTCTTGTCATTTCCATTTCACATATGAGAAAACACAGTCTCAGATGATGCCTAAAACATCTATCTAACACATGGAGGAGCTAGTGGGATACACACCCACATCTGCATGACTCCTATTCATGGCTACTGTGGATTACATTGCTTTCTCTTAGTATCCAAACCTCCACCTTCTCCTCTGTAAAATGGGAGTATGTGTTTTCTAAAATAATTCAGTTTTAAATAGCACGTATAAAAGAATCTAGTCTACTGCCTGGCGTATTTTAGAAGGTTACTTTTTTATTCCGTTTACTAAGAATGCTTCTTTCTATTTCACAGTTATTCAAATGAAGTATGGAAAAGCAAACCATCAGAATTCTTAATGGTCTCCTGATAAGTAGTGTTTAATATATACATGTATATGTATGTACATTATATATATATAGATAGAGAGAGAGAGAGAAAGGGAGAGAGAGACTTTTTTCAAAAAATTGGCCTACATAATTGTGAGGGTTGGAAAGTCCAAAATTCATGGGGTGTGCCTTCAAGCTGGCAATCTTCAGGCTGCAATTCACATGTAGAATTTCTTCTTCCTAAAGGAAACCTTGCTTTCCCTCTTAAGGCCTTTCAACTCATTAGAATTGGCCCACTCAGGTTGTCAAGGATAATTTTTACTTAAAGACAACTGATTAAGAATGTTAACAATATCTACAAAATACTTTCATTGCAATACCTAGATTCATGTTTGACTAAGTAACTGGGTGCTACAGATCAGTCAAGTTGACATGTAAGGCTATCCATCACAGTGCTTATTTGCTACACTGTACAACAGCAAGAAACTTGACTGAATTATTTTATCATATTTGGTAATCAAAGATCCAGCCTATTATTATTTCTTTGATTATCTCCAGTGAAGGTGAAGAAACTGATGGAGGAGAAGCACTTGGCTTTCCCCTATGCCTGGACATTTTTCCTAAAAATTAACTATTGTAGGATTTGTTCTTATATTGATTTATTTGCAAAAAGCTCTAAATTCAATATTTTCCTGAGGGCAAACACTTGTTAAATTATTCATAGTGCTACTTTCTAAGAAAAATTAGATTACCTGCTTCCTACACCAGCTAGGAGACTGTAGCAAATGAGAATGTACAATATTATATGTACATTTTTCCTTGATTAATCTAACCTGTACTTGAAAAGGGGGATAGGATCAACTCTCAAAGCAATTTATGAAGTAAGCTTTCTAGTGATGGAAATTAAGATTTTAGAAAAGTTGATCAGGGAAAGCCTTATTGACAGGTTGACATTTGAGTAAACATCAGACAGAAATGAGAAAGACAGCCATGCAGACATCTGAGCAAAAAGCATTTCAGGCTAAGTCCCTATGATAGGAGCATGTCTGGTGTGCTCTGAAAAATATGAGGCAGTAGTATGGCTAGAGGGGAATTAACAAGATGATGGTGGTAATAAACAAGGTAAGAGAGGTAAAGAAAAGCTTGATTCATGTAGATGTGTATGTCCCATATTCTTTAATTAGATTATTATTATTATTTTACTTTAAGTTCTAGGATACATGTGCAGAATGTGCAGGTTTGTTACATAGGTATATATGGGCCATGGTGGTTTGCTGGACCTATCAACCTGTCATCTAGGATTTAAGGTCTGCATGGATTAGGTATTTGTCCTAATGCTCTACCTCCCCTTGCCTCCTATCCCCCAACAGGCCCCAATGTGTGACGTTCCCCCTGCTGTGTCCATGTGCTCTCATTGTTCAACTACCACTTATGAGTGAGAACATGTGGGGTTTGGTTTTCTGTTCCTGTGTTAGTTTGCTGAGAATGATGGTTTCCAGCTTCATCCATATGACTGCAAGGGACATGAACTCATTGTTTTTTAGGGCTGCATAGTATTCCATGGTGTATATTTTCTTTATCTAGTCTATCATTGATGGGCATTTGGGTTGGTTCCAAGTCTTTGCTCCTATAAATAGTGCTGCAATAAACATACATGTACATGTGTCTTTATAGTAGAATGATTTATAATCCTTTGTGTATATACCCACTAATGGGATTGCTGGGTCAAAATGTATTTCTGGTTCTAGATCCTTGAGGAATCACCACACTGTCTTCCACAGTGGTTGAACTAATTTATACTAACACCAACAGTGAAAAAGCGTTCCTATTTTTCCACATCCTTGCCAGCATTGGTTGTTTACTGACTTGTTAATGATTGCCATTCTAACTGGCATGAGATGGTATCTCATGTGGTTTGATTTGCATTTCTCTAATGACCAGTGATGATAAGCTTTTTTTTGTATGTTTATTGGCCACATAAATGTCTTTTGAGAAGTGTCTGTTCAAAAGTGTCTTTTTGAGAAGTGTCTGTTCATATCCTTCGCCTGCTTTTTGATGGGGTTGTTGCTTTTTTTTCTTGTAAATTTGTTTAAGCTCCTTGTAGATTCTGGATATTAGAACTTTGTCAGATGGATAGATTGCAAAAATTTTCTCCCATTCTGTATGTTGTCTGTTCACTCTGATCATAATTTCTTTTGCTGCGCAGGAGCTCTTTAGTTTAATTAGATCACACTTGTCAGTTTTGGCTTTTGTTGCCATTGCTTTTGGTGTTTTAGTCATGAAGTCTTTACCCATGCCTAGGTCCTGAATGGTATTGCCTAGGTTTTCTTCGAGGATTTTTATGATTTTAGGTTCATGTTTAAGTCTTTAATCCATCTTGAGTTAATTTTTCTATAAGATGTAAGGAAGGGGTTCCAGCTTCAGATTTCTGCATATGGCTAGCTAGTCTTCCCAGCACCATTTATTAAATAGGGAATCTTTTCCTCATTGCTTCTTTTTGTCAGGTTTGTCAATGATCAGATGGTTGTAGATATGTGTTGTTATTTCTGAGGCCTCTGTTCTGTTCCATTGCTCTATATATCTGTTTGGTACCAGTACTATGCTCTTTTGGTTACTGTAGCCTTGTAGCGTAGTTTAGAGTCAGGTAGTGTGATGTCTCCAACATTGGTTTTTGTTTGTTTGTTTGTTTGTTTTTTCCTTACTATTGTCTTGGCTGTATGGGCTATTTACTATTGTCTTGGCTATACAGGCTCTTTTTTGGTTCCATATGAAATTTAAAGTAGTTTTTTATTATTCTGTGAAGAAAAATCAATGGTAGTTTGATGGGAATAGCATTGAATCTATAAATTACTTTGTGCAGTGTGGCCATTTTCACGATATTGATTCTCCCTGTTCATGAGCATGGAATTTTTTTTTCATTTGTTTGTGTCCTCTTTTATTTCCTTGAGCAGTGGTTTGTAATTCTCCTTGAAGAGGTCCTTTACATCCCTTATAAGTTATATTCCTGCATCATCCTGATACCAAAACCAGGCAGAGATACAACAGAAAAATAAAATTTCAGGCCACTATCCCAACATCAATGAAAAAATCCTCAATAAAATACTTGCAAACCAAATCCAGCAGCACATCAAAAAGCTTCTCCACGACAATCAAGCTGGCTTCATCCCTGGGATGCAAGGCTAGTTCAACATATGCAAATCAATAAACGTAATCCATCACATAAACAGAACCAATGACAAAAACCACATAATTATCTCAATAGATGCAGAAAACATCTTCAATAAAATTCAACACCACTTCATGCTAAAAACTCTCAATAAACTAGGTATTGATGGAACATATCTCAACATAATAAGAGCTGTTTATGACAAATGCACAGTCAATACCATACTGAATGGGCAAAAGCTTGAAGCATTCCCTTTGAAAATGAGCACAAGACAAGGATGCTCTCTCTAACCACTCCTATTCAACATAGTATTGGAAGTTCTGGCCAGGGCAATCAGGCAAGAGAAATAAATAAAGTGTATTCAAAGAGCAAGAGAGGAAGTCAAATTGTCTGTTTGCAGATGACATGATTGTACATTTAGAAAACCCCATCGTCTCAGCCCAATAACTCCTTAAGCTGATAAGCAATTTCAGCAAAGTCTCAGGATACAAAATCAATGTGCAAAACTCACAAGCATTCCTATACACCAATAACAGACAAACAGAGAGCCAAATCATGAGTGAACTCCCATTCACAATTGCTACCAAGAGAATTGGATTATTTTTAAATAACCCTCCCTTCCCTACTTCCATTGGAGGAAATACATTCTTGCCCCAATGATGTTGGCTTGGGAATGTGACTGGCATTGCAGCCAAGCCAATGTGCTGCTCACCTCTTCTACAAAGGAAACTGATGATAGGGGTGTAATTGGACTGAGAGCCCTGACTGCTATCCCTCTGATTCATCACCATGTCCAGCTACAGACTATGTTTCTACTGTGTTATTACTAGCCAGTGACTGAGCATTGCATGGGCACTACTGCTGGCACATTTTTATGAAATGCAAGTTCCCTTTCATGAGACTCAAGGATTTGGCATTGTTATATGGCCAAAATTTGCAACTCCACCGCAATCTAAGATTCATCCTACCCATTTCTTCTTCCTTTCCCCTTGTCAGGCTTGCATTGTAACTGCATTGAAAGTTCTTCCTGCCTAATATGGCCTACCCCTTTTGTCTTTCACTGACCTTTGCCCCTTGAATCTTTTGGGTATCTAATCCTTTCATAGCATTTGTTTTTGTTATCTAAAATGACAGGCTAGACTTGGTATCATATTGTTGTATTCTACTTCTTGCATCTTGCCTTTGACTTATCATGCAGCATTCACTGGTAATGATAAAGAATGCAAGAAACAGAATTGGACCCAATCTACATCTTGAACCAAGTGCAAACTGAGCCTAGATGGTCACCATAGAAGCTATGGGCATAAATAAAGTGCTGTAGTTTTAAGTTGTTGAGATTCTGCATAATTTGTTACCCAACATGATTATGACAGTAGGTAATGGTTACACACAGTAAAATTTTGTTGATTTTCTAAATTGGATGAAAAATTATGGGGGAGTTTGGAGCAGAAGATGCTATGATCTGAATTATCCTATTTTAATAGATTCACTTGTTAATACGTTGATAATAAATGGAAAGAGTTTTATTTCCCTTTTAGAGCAAAAAAGAGAAATCCACTATTTGGCCTCTGAAATAATCCAGTCAAGAGAAAATGGTACTTTCAGCCAAGATGAAGAAAAGCGGTAGAAATCTATCTTTTTCAAAGATAGAAAAGACAGGACTTATTGATAAGATGACGTTTAGTGTGTCATAAACAGGAGAAAATGATGACACCAAGAGTTTTGACCTGAGCAACTGGAATGATTGAAGAGTCTTAACTGAGAGAAGAAACAATTTAAAACCAGGCTATACAGATCCTTGCACTTTTCAGTTACAATCATCTGTATCTTCATCACACTTTAAACATCATCTCCCATAGTTATTTTCTGGGCCTTATTATCATCAATAAATGCATTACTTTTAGCCTTTAGATTTTTGGTATGTCCTATTCTAGTAAGTACTTCTTATTTTTCAAATTTACTGAATCTTATACGCTACTTTAAAAATGTTTTAATGTCATCAAGGACTAAAAAATTGTATGCTGCCAACATCATAATGATTTTCCCTCTTATGACATAGGACATCATGCTCTTTTACTAAAAAGACTCTCACTATAAATTTTCCTCAGGACTATTCACCCACCTAGCAAAAATCTCAATCCTGGTTATCTGCAATTGCTATCGTCTAAGGCCAGTTTATCTCCCATGCTCATTGTTCCTGCAATTGTCTACTTTATCTACCAAATGACTAGTTTCTGCCCTGCTACTAAGTCTTTTCCATCAGCATACAATGATGCCTCAGTAGATCCATGTGACTCTTTCTAAGCTAGTATGAAATATTTGCTTCTCTCTCCACCAACCAGGATGCCCCATAAGTGGGGATATAGTTCAAACCAACCACATGACCACTGACTGCCACCCAGACAAAAGTTTGGGACCCATGAGTCCTATGTACCAGAAGTCCCTCATCCTCTCACGCACAGACAATGCCAACTGCAGTCTATGGGCTACTGATCCTTCTGGTTCAGGCAACAATGCTCTCCTATTACTATTCCATTGCATCTTTCAGATCAGCTTGTTACAACACTGATATCTGTGACTGGTCACAGATACGAACCCAGAGCTATCATACTGCGGAACAACTTATTGGAGCTCCACTTATTATATCAGTAAAATGGGAAAAATAATATAGCTTCAAAAATTGTAAAGATTAATTGATTCATGCACAGAATAAACTCCTTTCTATTTTATTTTATTTTAGAAACATCTATGAAGAATTTCCTGTGTTTAGATTTCATTAGGACACATGACCAATGACTCTAGTGATCATGTGAATAATATATCCAGCTTAACATTGGGAAATATGCTGTAACAGATAGATAAATGTAAAATAGAAATAAAATTAAGAAATAAAATAGAATATGTAGAGGCAAAAGGATATTACAAAATAAGGAACATGTTCTCAAGAAATATCTCATTAAGATGTAATCAGATTCAAATTAACACACAGATACAAATAGCAATTATTATTCTGTTATTTAATGCAATACAAAAACGTCTAAACATCATGGCTACTAGATGAGATTCATGGAAAATATGAAAATATTTATGACCAAAGAATAACATAATAAGTCTCATAAAATTCGGGGTTTGTTGGCCGGGTGCGGTGGCTCACGCCTGTAATCCCAGCACTTTGGGAGGTGGAGGTGGGCAGATCACAAGATCAGGAGATTGAGACCATCCTGGCTAACACGGTGAAACCCCATCTCTACTAAAAACACAAAAAATTAGCTGGATGTGGTGGTGGGCGCCTGCAGTCCCAGCTACCTGGGAGGCTGAGGCAGGAGAATGGCGTGAACCCGGGAGGCAGAGATTGCAGTGAGCCAAGACTGCACCACTGCACTCCAGCCTGGGCGACAGAGCGAGACTCCATCTCAAAAAAAAAAAAAAAAAAAAAAAATTAGGAGTTTGTTTATATTGGAGATTCATGCCTAATTGAATTTATTTAAGATGTGAAAGTATTATTTAAAATTATAATTGAATCAATATATTTTCTCATTAATATAATATTCATAGAATTAAAAATAAGTGAAAAAATGTATAACTATATCAATATATGCAGAAAAAGCATTTCTTAAAATCAAATTTCTAGCTTAAGTAGGGAAAGACTAAAATTTCCTTAGCATTAAAAACTCTCAATAAACTAGGTATTGATGGGACGTATCTCAAAATAATAAGAGCTATCTATGACAAACCCACAGCCAATATCATACTGAATGGGAAAAAACTGGAAGCATTCCCTTTGAAAACTGGCGCAAGACAGGGATGCCCTCTCTCACCACTCCTATTCAACATAGTGTTGGAAGTTCTGGCCAGGGCAATTAGGCAGGAGAAGGAAATAAAGGGTATTCAATTAGGAAAAGAGGAAGTCAAATTGTCCCTCTTTGCAGACGACATGATTGTATATCTAGAAAACCCCATTGTCTCAGCCCAAAATCTCCTTAAGCTGATAAGCAACTTCAGCAAAGTCTCAGGATACAAAATCAATGTGCAAAAATCACAAGCATTCTTATACACCAATAACAGACAAACACAGATCCAAATCATGAGTGAACTCCCATTCACAATTGCTTCAAAAAGAATAAAATACTTAGGAATCCAACTTACAAGGGACGTGAAGGACCTCTTCAAGGAGAACTACAAACCACTGCTCAATGAAATTAAAGAGGATACAAAGAAATGGAAGAACATTCCATGCTCATGGGTAGGAAGAATCAATATCGTGAAAATGGCCATACTGCCCAAGGTAATTTATAGATTCAATGCCATCCCCATCAAGCTACCAATGACTTTCTTCACAGAATTGGAAAAAACTACTTTAAAGTTCATATGGAACCAAAAAAGAGCCTGCATCGCCAAGTCAATCCTAAGCCAAAAGAACAAAGCTGGAGGCATCACACTACCTGACTTCAAACTATATTACAAGGCTACAGTAACCAAAACAGCATGGTACTGGTACCAAAACAGAGATATAGATCAATGGAACAGAACAGAGCCCTCAGAAATAACGCCGCATTATCTACAACTATCTGATCTTTGACAAACCTAAGAAAAGCAATGGGGAAAGGATTCCCTATTTAATAAATGGTGCTGGGAAAACTGGCTAGCCATATGTAGAAAGCTGAAACTGGATCCCTTCCTTACACCTTGCACAAAAATTAATTCAAGATGGATTAAAGACTTAAACGTTAGACCTAAAACCATAAAAACCCTAGAAAAAAACCTAGGCATTACCATTCAGGACATAGGCATGGGCAAGGACTTCATGTCTAAAACACCAAAAGCAATGGCAACAAAAGACAAAATTGACAAATGGGATCTAATTAAACTAAAGAGCTTCTGCACAGCAAAAGAAACTACCATCAGAGTGAACAGGCAACCTACAAAATGGAAGAAAATTTTCGCAACCTACTCATCTGACAAAGGGCTAATATCCAGAATCTACAATGAACTCAAACAAATTTATAAGAAAAAAACAAACAACCCCATCAAAAAGTGGGCAAAGGACATGAACAGACACTTCTCAAAAGAAGACATTTATGCAGCCAAAAAACACATGAAAAAATGCTCATCATCACTGGCCATCAGAGAAATGCAAATCAAAACCACAATGAGATACCATCTCACACCAGTTAGAATGGCAATCATTAAAAAGTCAGGAAACAACAGGTACTGGAGAGGATGTGGAGAAATAGGAACACTTTTACACTGTTGGTGGGACTGTAAACTAGTTCAACCATTGTGGAAGTCAGTGTGGCCATTCCTCAGGGATCTAGAACTAGAAATACCATTTGACCCAGCCATCCCATTACTGGGTATATACCCAAAGGACGATAAATCATGCTGCTATAAAGACACATGCACATGTATGTTTATTGTGGCACTATTCACAATAGCAGACTTGGAACCAACCCAAATGTCCAACAATGATAGACTGGATTAAGAAAATGTGGCACATATACACCATGGAATACTATGCAGCCATAAAAATGATGAGTTCATGTCCTTTGTAGGGACATGGATGAAATTGGAAATCATCATTCTCAGTAAACTATCACAAGGACAAAAAACCAAACACCACATGTTCTCACTCATAGATGGGAATTGAACAATGAGAGCACATGGACACAGGAAGGGGAACATCACACTCTGGGGACTGTTGTGGGGTGGGGGAAGGGGGGAGGGATAGCATTAGGAGATATACCTAATGCTAAATGACGATTTAATGGGTGCAGCACACCAGCATGGCACATGTATACATATGTAACAAACCTGCACATTGTGCACATGTACCCTAAAACTTAAAGTATAATAATAATAATAAAAATAAATAAATAAATACAATAAAATAAAATTTCCTTGGCATTATAATGACTACCTACTAAAAAGGTATAATAGATTTCGTGCTTAAATTTCACACTGTAGAACTATTCCACTTTGGAAAACAATTTAGCCATCAGCTTAAAATTGAAAATACACATATCCTAATACCCATGCACATCAGTAGTCATTGCTTCTTAATATTATTCAAAGATAAATACAAGGTGGCAAGTTCATATGATAGGGTTCAATGTGTGTCAAACCTCAAAACACAATTCTAGGTAAGGCAAGATATTTAATTGATTATGTTCCAGTTAAATTCAAATGTTTCCAGGCTACATTTCAAAGTAACAATATTGTTACTTAAGTAATTTAACATTAAGAATCTATGGTTCCCTTACTTTATTTGGAACTATGAGAAATTAATACTGTCTTATGCAAATCTGAACACAGAAAAATTAAATATTGCAAATGTGACAGGTCTTCAAAAATTTTTTGACATGTCTAATATTCTGCAGCAAAGCTTAGCAAACTTTTTTTCTAAAGGGCCAGGTAGTAAACAGTTCAGTGTTAGTAAGCCACACATGATCTATATTACACATTTTTCTTTGTTATTTTTTCAACCAGATAACCTGTTAAACAAATACATAAACAAACATTCTTAGCTCTTTTATACTGATCCAGTGTAAGAACATACAATAACTCTCTAGGCTGCTCAGATAGAGCATTCAACATACTTAGTGACTGTGATTGTGTTATAGGCTTTATTTTTATAAGCAAAACTCCTCCAAGTTCAAAATGGAAACTAGTCATAAGTCAGTCCTCACAGAACATATGTTCAACAATCATAATAACTTCAAATAAATAACCATTGTCCCTTTTGTCTGATATGTTATATAAAATGCACTTGACTTCAGAAATTGTGATCTGAAAAAATGCAATACAAGGTCATAGCATATTAATCACTGCTAAAATAGTTACTTTGCCCCTTTGCAAGTTCTCTTTCTACCGCCTTTATTCTCCTCAAAACGTTTTGTCTGCCCAATTTAACAGCACCAATCACTTCCTTACTGGCATCATTATAATGTTTCCATGTCTCTTCTACAATATTTTAATAAAAAAGAGAGAAATAAACAAACATGAATGGTGAGACAAGCTTTGATTTTTGCCCTCTCTTGAAGAACTTACCAGTGAAATCTTGGGATTTATATTTTCTAAGATTGCTAAATATTTTGTAAGTACATGTATTTACTTAAATAAAAGAATGATTATGTAATGTAAATACAGAAAAAAGTGTTGGGGATGTATTATTTAAATTATATCCTGGAGGTATGCTAGTCCACAGCATACCTCCAGACCAATAGCAAGACAATTTATTTTCCCATTAGGGAAAGAGACACATATTTAATGCCTACCAAATATTTCAGGAGATTTATATATGGATTCTCACTTGCCCTAATGACAGCTCATGAAATTGGCATTATTAAGGTATACCATATCTGACAGCTGAAGAAACTGAGTTTCCAGGAGGTTAAGTAACTTAACTGAGGTCTCTCTACATCTCAGACTTTTCTCTCTTCTCAACTCAGCATTGGCAAAATGTTCTCCACATAATTGGAGCTATAAAGACGGAGATGAAACTCAAGAGTTACAGTGCATTGTGGACCAGGAAACAAAGTGAAACCTAAAACTCCATAAAAAATGAGACAAGAATAAAAAAACACATTCTTCATTACATAAATCTCATATCAAGTCAATCAATAAATAATGTTGCATTACCACTATATTCTAGGACAATGTTAGGCTTCAGCTTGGGTAGGTAAACACTGCCTCTGACTCAAGGAGTGTATATACAATCTGGTAAGAAAAAAACAATAAACACAGACAATGGATAATTCAGAGCATTATAAATCAACTTGGTTGGAAATAAAATAAATGCTATATGTTCATTTAGGACTTTATACAAATTGGCCTCTGAGAATAAAACTTTCACATCACTTGCTTTTTGCTATGTCAAAAGATATAGAATTTGAGCAGAGGCAAAGTAAACAAAATGTTTGACATTCAATTAAATAATAGAAAATTTTCCCTTTGGAAAGAGTAGAGAATAATGTTGCTATTCAGCCATGTGTTCAACAAATGTTTAATATCTGCTGACTTGAGTTATTTTTTCCTCACATCAATGGATTCTCTGATTCTCCAATATCATCTGGGTATCCACAAATGTAATTCAAATCTGCCACTAGCTATCCAGAGTTAGAAAAGATCCCACAGGTTAAGGCCTGAGTCCCTCAAGACTGCCCCAACTTCAGATGCAAGTCAAAAACGGGGTTCCCAAGATACCCACATTTCTGCTGGAACAACTATAAATTCAGGGATTCTCACAATGTCCCTCATCAGTGTCAGTGATTTCTAGCACAGCTCATAGAATTCAGGAAAGCATTTAACTACCATTGCCAGTGTATTATAAAAGATACAACTCAAATAGCCTGATGGAAGGTGTATTAGTCCGTTTTTGCACTCTATAAGGAACTACTTGAGACTAGGTAATTTATAAAGGAAAGAGGTTTAATTAACTCACAGTTCCCACATGGCTGGGGAGCCCTCAGGAAACAAGGGTTTCCTGAGGCAGAAGGCTAAGGGGAAGGAAGCACTTTCTTCACAAGGTGGCATGAGAGATGGAGAGTGACCGGGGAACTGCCAAACACTTTCAGAACATCAGATCTCCTGAGAACTCACTCACTATCAGGAGACCAGCATGGGGGAAACCACCCCCTTGATCCAATTATCTTCCACCAGGCCCATCCTCTGAAATGTGAGGATTACAATTCGAGATAAGATTTGGGTGGGGACACAGAACCAAACCATATCAACAGGGATCCATAGAGCCAGGTATGGTGTTAGGGAGTGTGGAGCTTCCATGCCCTCTCCAGATGCACTCCCTTCCCAGCACCTTCATGTGTCCCCCAACTTGGAAGCTCTCCAAACTTCATTGTTTAGGAGTTTTTATGAAAGTTTCATTATGTAGGCACAATTGTTTAAATCACTGATCATTGGTGATTGAACTCAACCTCCAGCCTCTTTTCCCTCTGGAATTTAGGGTGGAAGGGGCTGAAAGTTACAAACCCCTAATCATACAGTGTGTTCCTCTGGCTATCAGTCCCCATCCCAAAGCTATCTAGGGGCCCACCTAGAGTCACCTGATTAACAAAAACTCAGGTATGGTTGTTAGGGAACTCATTACTAATAATACACAACACTCGTCACTTAGGAAATGTCTGGGGTTTTAGGATCTCTGTGACAGGAACCAGAGACAAAGATCAAGTATTTTTTATTATACCACATGACTGAATAGTAAATCTTTAGGTCAACTCTTTATTTATTGTCAAGTTTATTAAACAATGCAGAAACAGCTAAAGCCTAGAAGACACGCTTTTTTATAGCTAATGAAAAGAAACTTGCAGTTCTTATGGGGCAGGTAAATGCATTCAGGTTTGAGTTTGAGGATGGGGTGATGTGTCCCTATCTTATATAAGTCAATATGTGTCCAGGCAGATACATATCTTTCTGTGTGGATTTCAAAAGGAAAACTTTTTTTGTTAGTAAGTTTTTGCCTCTTGGCAATTTTCACTGATGGAAAGTTAAAACATTTTTGCAATAGAAAGATAAAACTTAGGGCCGGTAAACCAAGAAGATTTATGTGCTACAATATCCATGTTATTCTGGATAAATCTCTGTACTTTTCTCACTGTGTCTATGCTGAATAGAATGCAGGTATTTTTTCACATTTTTGTAGACTGCCAAGTTTACCAAATTATAACTGAAAGCATTCTTTCTCTCCATGTTACAAGCACCTAACTGACTAAATATTTTTCACCTAGAAAAGTGTTTGAGATTTATAGCAAGAGGCTTTTAAGAAATGAAGTAAACAATTTTAGGATAACTAAATGTCTGTTTTATTGTTTTCTCATTATCATTTTTATGGAATTTTTTATAATGTGAATCTCAAATTTTAAAACAGATGGAGCTGTATAATGACCCTAATAAAATTCTTGTTTCAAAGGTTCATGGGTTCTCAATTCTATTAAAAATTATCTATCGTCTCTAATATAACCTATATCAATATTTGATTTTATATTATCCAAAACATGTAAAAATTTCATAAACCTGTTGAAAGGTATCTTATTATCACATTTGGTGCTCACTAGTTGGAAGGAGGTTAAATTTCTAAGAAAAATATGATTCTCTATATTGTGGAAGGAAGGAATCTTGTGCTATGCCTAGGTGCATGGCCAGGTAAGGATGTCCAAATTCAGGAAAGGAGCCAACTTCAAGCAGGACTGAGAGCCTGAATTCAGAGACTGAGCTTCTGGGTGCTGAGTACTGAATAGTTTAGGCTAAGGTGGAGGTCAGCAGAAAATAATGAAAGGAAAGAGTTTTAACCATAAAACCAAACAAGTTTTTCAAAAGTTTAATTAGAATAGGACCTATCCTAGTAATTTTATGAGCATATTCCAAAGCTGAGACCCAGGACAAGAAAACCCACTAAAAACCGAAGAGAACCAGGTATGTTCAGAGTGAGTTTCGGAAATGAATCTTTCTCAGAGAAGACCTGAAACTCTCACTGACAAAGCTTCTTCGTAATTTGAAATAGTATATTCTCACACAAGTCTATAAATTTTACCACATTCAGGAATTAGGATAACCAACACCAAAGTTAGAATAAAGAAAATATTCATCATCCCTTAAAATTCTCTCATACTGATGCTGTGTATTCAAACACTCTCAAGAAGGAACATAAAATCAGAATAAGCCTGTATCCAGTAAGATATTGAATCTATAACTTTCTTCTAAGGAATATTCTCTATATATGTGGTCTTACCAATAAATTTCAAACATGAAATAATGCTAATATCACATAAACTCTTCTAAAGAAAAGAACCAGAAAAAGTTCTTCAATTAATTTTATGAAGTCGGGCTAACCTTGATAACACTGCAACCAAGGAAAATTGAATGAATTCCCACCCTGCACTATATGTAAACACTACAGAAATATTATTATCCCACCAAGTCCAGTAACAGTACAAAAAACAATTTATATTTATTTCTAAATATTTAATATAATAATTCTAGCAAAAGGACTCTATATGACAACCAAGTTAAGTTGATTCTGGTACAGCAAGGTTGATTTAACACTTAAAAGTAAATCACAAAAATTCACTGCATTAACAGGACACATAGAAAATAGCATAAGCTCATTAGCTGCGAAAAAAAAACATTTTTTGTTAAAATTCAACACCCATTCATAATGTGAAATCTTAGAAAATAAGGAAATTAGGACTAGAACAGAACTTTCCTAATCTGGTTAAAAAACAAAGTATGCACAGACAGTATCATCCTTAAGTTTAAAATGTTGAAAACTTTTTTCTGAGTCCAGAAATAAGGCAGAATATCCATGTTATGTTAAATCAACATCCTCTTAGAGAATACAGCTGGTACATTAAGACAAGACAAGAATTAGAACTAGAACTATTTAAGAACTAGAAAGGAAGAAATAGAAATCATTACTTCTAGACTATACAATTTATTATACAGAGGAAATCCAAAATAATTTACATATACATATAATATATTAAAATTAATTAGTGAATTTAGCATATTTGTAGGTTGAAAGTCATATCAAAATCAATTTTATAGTTACATAAGCAAGAAATAGAAATAATTTGTCAATACTTTGTGTATTATTAAAATCTACTATTATTAAAATTGTGAATTCTGTTTGATATCATCTAGTAATGTTAATAACTATGCCCATGTGTTAATAACTGTGGCAGGGAAATAGTGTGGTGTTGAGATTTAAAAGATTAAGTTTCAGAATCATCCAATGTGAAGTCTGATGACATAAGCCTATTAACAGAGCTCAGTAATAAGAGCCACTGAGTGATCACAACCCCCATGAAGGTACAGTGATAAAATCAAAATGAGGTGTTGCTACTTCTGTCCTTTTAGAGTGAGTATCCTTAAATACAAAATTTAAAAAGGAAATTAGAATATATGAGTCAAATTATGTGAGGCATCCAAGATTCAGTCCAAGAATAACTTGTGCAATTTCTCCTTATCATCTTCAAATGTTACTCTCTTTGAGTATGTGTTCTTTTAATGAAATCAATGACTTGAGCAATTATTAACCCTGGAAGTGAGAAGAGCTGCGTCTTCCTTCTTAGTTACAGTGTCAAAGAAAAAACAGAGCGAGACAGTGGTTAAAGTGGTAAAAACAGATTTTACTCAGCACTATTGCAATGGGGGGAAAGAAATCTCAGTGTAGAACCAGGCTCAATTCTGAATAAAGCATGGACAAGTGCAGACTCAGAGCCAAGGAGCAGGGTGAGGGTCAGCAGATAAAAAATTACCAAAAGGAAATCTCAGGGGGAAGAAGGATTCTGGCTAAACTGACCTAAGAGTATTCTTGCCAAAGGCAGACCAGGGTGGTCAGACCTGCAGGATGATAGAGGATGAGAAACCTGATGGGATATTGGGGAGGTAGGGGTGGGGGGCCCTGGTTAAATTGACTTAGCACAATTTTAGTTAAAATCGCCAATGTTTACATGAACACAGAACTCGAAAAGCTGAACCTATTTGAAAAGTTCAAGGGAGTCTCAATAGAGTTTGGTCAAGGAAAGTATTTTGGTCGACAGGTTAGTAGAGTTGCAGTAATAAATAGGATGTCCAGTGAGGGGTTCCTGGGTTAACCCTGCATCAGAGGCTGTTAGGTGACTACGGGTGATTATCTGAGGATTTCATGACCATAGGTCATAATAGATGCCTTGACATATGAAAGCATTTGATTTTGTTTCCCTTGCATTGAAACATGACTATAGGTTGTGAATATGGAACACACATTTGTCATTTTATATTGTGGCATCTATTTAGAAAAGTATTTTAGATATTTACTAAAAGCAAAAAACATCTATTTCATATAATGCCAACTTTGTTCATTGATTCTTTCACTAAACATGAATGGGCACATCTATGTGCCAAACGCTATTCTAGGGGTTAGAGATACTACAATGATTAAAACAAGACCAAAAAGAAAACAAAACAACAACAAAACCCCTTTACCTCTAAGGAACTTAAATTCTAATAGAACTATAATTTAATTCTAATTCTAATGGAATTCTTAAATCCTAATGGAATTTTTAAATTCTAATGCTAATGAAATTCTTAAATTCTAATGGAATTAGAACTAAGGAACTTAAATTCTGATGGTAGGGGACAGAAAATAAACAAAATAAACATGTAATACTTTTAGTATTGGAGTTGGTGATACTCCTACATTATTGTGCAAGTCGTTTCTACAGTTCACTTATGTGGGAACATAGTATTACAGACTGATGCAGACCAATTGAACCTTATGAAAATTAAATCACTCTGAATTAGAAAACAACAAAAACATCCCAATCATTGCACGGCCTCATACACAGTTTATTTACTTAGGCCAATCATCAGAACTTAGTAACTAGAATCATCAAGGACTTTACAAGCAACGCAGATTAATTTTAAAAATGAATTTTAAATAGTAAGTATCTAATAATTAAATAAGTTTAAAACCATGACAGAAATGCCTATGAGGAAAGAAGAATTTCACAAAGGCACACACTAATGTGGGTATAAGACAAAATACGAAACTGTGAAGAATATAAGTTCCTTCACGTATAACTTTTCCCTGGGACAGGATGGCAAATCGGTTTCATTTTTTTTTTTTTTTTTGTCCCAACCCTGATTGCTTGAAGCACTGCGTTTCAGGAGTCAGGCCCTTGGTTGAAAATCTTTGCATGATGGGTTTAAAGCCTGACCATTAGCAATTACAAAGACTTATCCATCAGGCCTCACGAGGGAAACTGACCTGCTCTCCCTGCATTAGATTTGCTCACAGCCAGACCGCTGCAGTCTCTGAAGGGAGCTGTAGGTGAGAGCACAGGGCCTTTGTGCTACTCATGCTCTTTGCATGTTAGCTTCCTGAGCCTCAGCACCTTTATTCCTAGGTCTCATCACGGGAGGCCTTAAACAGAGGTCCTCTTAAGGCGCCTCTGCTGAGACCGCCTTGTGGGAGGGTGGGGGAATCTTGAAGACGTCACTCTGACTCGGTACCCAATACTTTTTAAAACCTACTCTTCTCCCCTTTCCCTCCTCCTTGGCCCTTCATCCACACAACTGCAAGAACTTTTGTTTGGGATTCCTTCAACAGTTAGACAACTCTCTCCTGGTTTTTGAGGAGAGAGCCTTTTCAAGGAGAAAAATGAAATGGAGGCAGAGTCGGGGGAGTGGGTGCCTTTCCTAGTTTTAGCCTCTTGCTTACACTCTTGCAGCGAGTGATGAAAGGCTTCACAGTTACCTTCATTGCGGCTTGTTGTGGCTTTCACTGACCATTCCAATACCTAGCAGCCTCTCCAGCTCTGCTGAGATGCTGACAATATTCAGGAGTGTGAGGCCAAGGCACCCTCAAGCAAACAGTAGTTTCTTTTCAGTGACCAGCACCTGCCTAAATCAAGTCTTGGGTCAATTGGTCCCAGTATATGAGACCACTCAGGTGGCCCACAAGGGTGGCGTAGAAATCAGCCAGTTACCACTGTCCACCCATCCACATGGTCTCAACTCTACCTTTACACCTTTATGTCTGCATTGTTTGGATCTAGTGAAAGTTCTCATCTGGGGTTCCTCAAAGTTCGACCCTATCCAAAGCCATACTCTTCTCATTCAGAAGGAGACTGCAGAAAAAACAAGTTCAATTACCCAGTACTAACAATAATAATGAGGAGGTGAGTATCAGAAAAGAGAGATGAAGCACTGTGCAATACCAGGCTTATAAAACGGCATTTGCTTTGTCTGCATCTGTACAAGTGCCCCAAAGTGTCACCTACTATCACATAGAAGATGAGTGGTGGCTGCAATGTGCCCTGGGCTTTCAATTGTAAGGGGCTTTGGCCCCTCTGGGTCTAGCTCTGTGCTGAGAAATCAGAGCAACCACAGCAAGACTGACAATTTTATCAATTGCCTAGACCTCAGACAAATTCATGGATTAGGACGACTGGGGTGGTGATTACCTGGATGTAGATAGTGAATGTTCTATAATTATTGTTACCAGATTAAGAAAGAAGAGAATTCCTTAAGGACAGATCATTGGTTTAAAAGTCAAGCATACCCAAACTAAACTCCCAGCTTTGTTTCTGTGTAACAATGTGACATAGGCAAATTATTGTTTCACAGCTGCAAGTCTTCATTTCTGTAACAAGAAGAATGCACACAGTACCTACCAGGCAGGATTATTGATGATTAAAGAAGCTCGTGTATTTAAGGGTCCTAGTCCCCCATTTGTCAGAGAACAGATATTCAACAAGAAAAAGTTACCTTCCCCTCCTCACAGAAAAGTAGAGCTGGGGCTCAAAAAATGATACCCCAAAACGAAGACCTTAGAAGCAGCCTGAGAAGCAAAAGTTTCTCTCTGAGTTCCCCCTGTCCTCCTGCCTCTGGTACCTCATTCTCCCCTGAGGCTAGTCATGGAAGCCAGAATCTCTCTTCTCCAAGTGGCTCATAGAAAGCAGAACTCCTTTCCCTCAAAGCCAGGCATAAAATCTAAAAATATTACTCTAATTTTCCCCATGTCTTTCTGTGTAAAACTGGCCAGAAAGAAATGATCTGACCTACAATGTTTGACTGTCATAAGACCCCCATTCCTGGGAGGATCCTTCCCCATGCTCAAAAAGAAGGAATGCTACACAGGGAGGCCAAGAAGAATCTAAACAGAGAGGCCTTGCTGGATTTCCCCATTACGTCTACTCAGATTAGATCATACCCCTTTTGTCCAATCATATTTCTACAGAGTTGTCCATACCTTGTCGAACCTAAGCAGAAAAAAGGACAATTTCCCCGTACTTTGGGTCTTAATTCTGAAGGCTACCGTGTCACATAAAACTATGATCAGATAAATTTGTATGCATTTTCTTTTATTACTCTGCCTCTTGTCAGCGATTTTTAGTTAACCTTCAGAGGGTGAAGAGAAAGTTTCTCCTTGTCCCCTATAATAGATACAGAAGGGCTGGTCATTGGCAGAGGCAGCTGAGGAAGCTGAGTTTATCTGGAAACTCTCAATGGAAATGTACAACTGTCTCCCCTTATCCATGAAGGATACCTGCCAAAACCCCCAGTGGATGCCTGAAACCATGGAAAGTACCGCAGCCTCTGCACATTGTGTTTTTCCTACACACACAAAGCTATGATAAGGCTTAATTTATAAATTAGGCACAGTAACAGATTAACATTAATGACAAAATAGCACCAGTAAAGCAATATATTGTTCAGAATTTCAGGAATAGAAGACTTATTTCTACTGTAGATCTTAGCAACCTGAACATAAGATATTTTTCTTTGCTTATTAAGTTGAGAATTTTCACCTATTCACTTAAAGAAAACATTTTATGGCTTATCTTTGGCATATTGGAATTGTCAGCATCATTACTCTTGTGCTTTGAGGCCATTATGGAGTAAAATAAGGGTTACTTGAAACAGGAGCACTGTGATACCATGACAGTCAATGTGATAGCTGAGACAGCTACTGCCTCACGGGCACGTAGCATATACAGTGAGGAGACCTGGACAAAGAAATGATTCACTTCCCGCGTGGGATACTCACAATACATGGTGCACAATTTTAAATTTAGGAAGTGTTTATTTCTGGAGTTTTCGTTTAATATTTTTAAATGATTAACCACAAAGTGAAACCATAGATGACAGGGAAATATGGTATAAGCTCCACATAGGGATATTGTGTTCTAAACGGGAGACTAAGCTGGCTTTGTGGGGTCTTCAAGGATCATTCCAACATGGCCAGCTGTGGAAATTATTCTTGGGGAGGTATATGAAAGTAAAGGATTTATTATCTCATAGGTTGTAGAGAAAGAGGCAGGGTGTCCCAAGGAGCAGCTCAACCAAGCAGGTGGAGAGAGTAAGGACCTGTGGGCAAGTGCCTTTATTGGGATTAGAGTACAGTACACAAGCAAAAGGCATGAGAGTATTTTATTGTTGCACTAGAATGTCACTGGGTCACAGTCAAGTGAGGGCAAGAAGGAGAATTTGTGGCACGGACCAGCCTTATAACACTGGTGCAAATGGTTACCTGGCCAAGGTGCTCAACAGCCAGTTCATCAGGATGTTGGGGCATCAAAAAAATACGAATGTTTAAAAAATTACAATAGAGTGTTCTTCATCACCTCAAAGCAGGAAATGTAGCTGAGATGAGCAGGGATTGAAACAAAAATAGAAAGACGTATTTATACGAAATAGGACAAAGCATCTCCTCCTTTCTGTCTTTTTTTTTCTGGGGTTGCATAGTCTGTCTGTTTCTCTAAGCTCCTACATCAATGCATTTCCCTTTACACTTTTAGTAAAATGAATTTTTCAGCTGCATCAAAATATCTCTTCAATCTACCCAGTAAGGAGAGACTCACCAGCCTCTATAAGAAGTCTGTAAATCTGAATTATCCAGTACATCTGATTGATTTCATTTGGATCAGATGCCCATGACTAAACCAATTAATATTAGCCTAGGTAGTTGCACTGTATAACTGTAGGTGCAGCTTTGGCTCTAGTTGCACCGTGCCATGGGAGAGGATGTGGAAATACTCAGCAAAATGAATACAGTGGAAGTAGGAGGAAAAATAGGCATCTCTACTACAGAAAAATCACCAGTATTTTATTTCCTACTAATCTAATTATGTTAATCATAATTTACATTTTTATTTACATTCTAACTGTAGTTCATTCTCAGTGCACTACATATAGTGTGTTGATTATGTGTAATACCCTGAAATAAAAACAAACAACAAAAATAACCAAAACACAAAGGTAAAATTTCTGTATAGGAGTTGTTAACTGGTTAAAGATGGGGAGTGAGTCTACTTCAAAGTCACATGCACAGTCATGGGCCACATAATGACTTTTCCGTCAAAAGAGACCTTGTATATGACAGTGGTCCCATAAGATTCTAATACCATATATTTACTGTACCTTTTCTATGTTTACATTATGTTTAGATAAATACTCACCGTTTTCTTACAGCTGCCTCAGTATTCAGTGCAGTAACAGGCTATACAGGTTTATAGCCTAGGAGTAATAGACTATACCATACAACCTAGGGGCACATAGACTGTACCATTTAGGTTTGTGTAAGTACACAACAAGGAAATCACCTAATAACTCATTTCTCAGCCCATATTCCCTCGTTATGTGAAACGTGACTGTGTCCTTTTAAAAAGTGAGAAAATGCTAAGTGTACATTTAAAGAAAGGATGGTTTTCCACCAAAAAAGCAAATTGTGGGTATGTTAAGAGCAAACTCAATCTCCATGCAATTCATTTATTGATGTTGCTGTTAAAGAAAATCACACAGTAAAATGAAGGCCAAAGATAATAATATAATAATCTTCAGAGGTCTCTACATACCTTGTAGAAAAATAAATATAATTTTGCACGAGGACTCACTTTATCATTTTGTGATTACCTTTTTTAACAAATATATATGTGCATGTATATATATGAAATTAAATTGTATACTTTATAAACTGTTCATGCTACACATATAAAAAACGTTCATTGGGTTTAAAAGCAGGATGTAAAATATTTAAAAATGCATATAATACAGATATGTGTGGATGTGTTGTATAAAATTACATAAATAATAAACAGTTTAATTTCTAAAAGATAAGCTTGAACTACAAAATGCAAATGAACTTTCCAGAATAGTACCTTGAATTCAAGGCACTACTAAAGAGCTCAAGGTTTCCTCCATGTTGTAAGATATTTGAATATTCCCTAGGACATTAAGAATGTATTCTTTTATATTAGTTAATTAAATTTTTAAATGCTTAATGTTAAAGGTAATCTCATCTTTTCTCTTAATTAGGCTTGCAAGTAATACATTTTTATTGGATTGGTTTTCTAAAGAGCATGCTCTGGGTATTTTTATAAATTCTACTCAATATCTCTTTGCTAACCGTGCTCTGCTGTTAATGATTTCTTCTGATTTCCATAAAAGTATTAATTTTTATTTTACAAAAGGTTTACACCAAATTCCTTGTTCATTTAACTTTATTTTTCATATTTAATCATAAATAATTTATAGGTATGCATTATGCACTAATGAAAAGTTGGGCTATATAGCTTACATTTTGGTAGAAAGTGTTTTTATTTTATTTAGTTTGTAACTGTATTATAGTTCCTGTTTTGATCATGTTTTTCCTAAACTTTGTTTATAGACCATCTTAGACAATATTATAGCATTCAAAATTTATTTAAATTCTTATGCTGGTTCTTAGCTTTATTACATTTTTATCATTCAATATGGCTTTAAAATTTAATTATACTAATTGAGACTTTGTTTATATCTTAATATAGAATTGGTGTTCTTGTATTAGCAACTGGACTGAAATATCCACAAAGGGTGGATTTATGAACAATACGGGAATTTGAGTAATAATCTTCTTACCTGAAAATGTAAAAATTAACCAGAATCAAGAAAGAAAATAATCAGCCCTGTTGAGAATCAGATTGTAGCCGACACAGCAGACACAGACAAAGCAGCTGGCAAAGCCAACATAAAACAATACTACTCCTAAAGCCACGCTACAGCTGCAAAATTGCTTCATGAATGTACACAATTCAAAGCTGATCCTCCCATCTCTATTTCAGAGTCACCCAGCATGAGCTCAAACTCCATGAAAATCCCCTTCCTACTGAAATGCACCATGATTCTCTTTGTCCATCCTTCCTTGTTACAGCAATTTAATAAACCCAACTCATTTAACTACAGGTCTGTTCTTGGTGCTCCTTATTTGATGGATTTATCACTCATTATTCCACAAAAGCACTGAAATTACATATGATAAAATTATTACAAAACATAGAAATATAAATAAATCTGAATAGGTACTATCTATTGATAGGGAGAGAAGGCAGAGAAATTCTAGGCAGAAAAGGGCAAATCCCTGGCAAAGCCACACTCTCAAGCCAAAAACCCTGAGACCACGGCCCAAAGTGAGAACTTATACCCTGTTTTGCCAGTTGAATGTTGCCTTTTCCTCAACTACCTATAACCTGCCCTACCCTCCATTGTGTGCCCATAAAGACCCCATACTCATCCTGCATGCAGAGAGGAGAAGCAGTTGGACGTCAGGGAATATGGCTGGACATCAGAGAGAAGCAGCTTGACTTCAGAGGGACAGCTTGACAGCATAATTTTGGAGAAGAATCTGGCCAGAGGCGGCCGGACTTCAGGGGAAGATTACCTTCCTGCGCCGTTTGCTTTTTGGTTCCTCTTCCCGTGAAAAGCGCCACTTTCATTGGCAATAAAATCCCCCACATTTATAATTCTTCAATTCATTCGTGTGACCTCATTTCTCCTGGATGCCAGACAAGAGCTGAGGAGCCACGAGTGTGGATACAAAATGCTGTCACACCGACCCTTCGCCCTCGCTGGTAGAGGGCAGCCGCCTCACGTGTAAAGACAGAGGGTCCACTAAGCTGTTAACACTTAAGCCCTCCGCAGACGACAGAGCTAAAAGAGTGTTGTAACACTCCTCTGGGGCTTCAGAGATTGCAGGCACTCCCCCTAGATGCTGCTGCAGGGCCCACATGGAGTTTGCTTCTGTCAGCGCCCAAAAACGCTCTCCTCAGCTCCTGCACCCACTCACCTGTGCGTTTCCTCCCATGAGAGGTGGAGTGCAGCGGGTCCGAGTGAGTGGAGTTAGCTCCTGCTGGGGCCGAAGTGGCCAGCTGATTCCAGCACTTGTGCACTCCACTTCCTGCCTCATTCACTTGCGCACTCCCTCTCGCGAGAAGTTGAGAGCCGCAGGCTAAGTAAATGAGGCACCCCCTTCGCGAGTCCAGGAAAGGGGTCAGGGAAATATCCTGCTTCATCTGGGGGCCTGTCTGAGATATGTCAGAAGGGTGAGTAAATGCGGATCTGCTGGATCTGTCCCTTCATTTTTCCCAAGACTTCTTGTCCTCAGGCTTTCCTCTGAGCTATGCCACTTGCAGGGGTCAGGATGCAGTCCTGCAACCTCTCTTTTTCTTTCAGGTGAAAGGAATGTTGGCTCTGTTTCCCATGCAGAGGTCTAGCCATCACGTGGGACTGGAATAAAGTCCTGGGGCGACTGAAGGCATCTGGCCAAGACCACTTCTTGGTGTTGCCAGAAAGTGCCTAGACTGGACCCTGTCCCTGACCTCACATTATAGTGTCGGCCAGCCAAGACCCCCAGACTTTTCCATGGTACCTTTCCCTTTCTACATTCACAGTTTGAAAGGTCTCCTATTTCTTCTTTTATAATGTTAAGGGTATTGCTGCAAACTGCAGAAATGTTACTAGGTAGAATGAGCATTTGGCCCAGCCATCAGATACACAATTCAGAACAATGTGATTTCCATCTGTTCTTAGAGGTGCCATCCCCACCCCCACCCCAACAGCCACAGGTGCACAGCGCACAGCAGCCTCCCTCCTCTCCCTTCCTGGCTGGGGCACTTGAGCATGTCCACAGCACGCACTTGCCACACACCCAATGGCCACGTGGGGTGGGAGAGAACCAGGCTGCTGTGCAGGCCCCAGAGCAGTCCTGGGCACCAAGGGCCTCATGTAGCCAGTTGGCCAGCATTTCCCGCTCATCATTCCCTCCCACCACATGCCCATAGAGTCTTCATTCCCCCGGCCAAGGGGTCCGGTTCAATCCAAAGCAGGGGAAGGATACAGTAAATAAAGGAACCTATTTGCACAGAACAAGGTGTTCTTCCCTTCCTTAAGCTGTTTTTTTCTTATTTTCTTTGCTCTGCAAGAGGGTTATTTTTCTCCCTCAGCACTCTGCTTATGATAGGGAAGCAGCAAAGGCATGACCCCACTGGCTAATAACTGAGAATTTGGCAAAGCCTGCAAGAGATTTCATCTAAATGAATCCATGCACCCCCTGAGACTCCTTTTTGTCCCAAACTCAATTCCAAACTTCAAGTTGAAGCCCTAGAAAGAAAAAAACAGATCTAAGGGGTCCAAAGGGAGGCAACAGGCACAGTGTCAATGGGCAGGAATAATTCCTGCCAATTAAGCCCTTGCTTCAAAGAAGGAGGCCATGCTCCATGGCATATATAAGGCCCAGGGAACTTAAAGGCTGCCAGCAGTAGCAGGGATGGAGGCATAGGTGAGCACGGATAATTCCTATTCTCTAGGCCCTTCCTTCTTCATGGGTGCAGGCCACAATGGTTTCCGTGTGTGGTGTCCATCTAAGGTCGCCAGGACTTGGGGATAAAAAAGATAGAAGAGAAAAGGGGGCACCCATTTTCTCTCCCCATCACAAGCCAAGTTTTCACTGAAAGGAAGGGAATTGAGGGATGCCTATTTCTCTCTCTTTCACCATTGTCAGTCTATACTTTTCTGGAGTATATCCTGAAATATTGGGACTGCTTTGACCCCTCATGTTTTGGAGGAAAAAAGCCTCATAGCCTTTTGCATAAAATTTTGGCCAAATTATGATCTGCAGGAAGGACGGGCCTCAAAAAGGAACCATTCATTTTGATACCATCCTGAAATTGGACCTTTTCTATAAACATGAGGGCAAACGGTCTGAGGCCCCATATGTGCAGATTTTCTTTACCTTGCATGGTAATCCAGACCTTTGTCAACAGTGTAGGACTGATCCAGCCCCCTTGTTTGCCATCTCAGGAGAGGCTGCAAGAAGTAATCCCAGGGAACTAAATAAACAAACCCCAGAGACACTTCCACCAGGGGAGCCAGCTCTCTTCAGCCCTGCTCCTCTGGGTCCACCTTGACCTCACTATCCATTTTCTCTCTGTTGCTTTCCCCCTTTTAGAAATCCTCACCCTAGACAAGGCTCAGTCTCACTCTTGCCCTTCCAACAGATGCTTGGTGAATTTGGTCCCAGTAAGGTCCAGGTTCCCTTCTATCTATAGGACTTAAAGCAAATTGAGAGGGATCTTGGCAAGTTTTCAAATTAACCTGACAGATATATAGAGGCTTTCCAGAATGTAATCCAAGTATTTCAACTTTCCTGGAAAGACGTTATGTTATTTTTTTAATCAAACCCTGACTAATACTGAGAAGCAGCCTGCTCTGCAAACAGCAGAGAGATTTGGGGATGAGCTTTGTATCACTGTAGTGTCAAGGAAGGGGTCAAACTTTATCCATCTGGAAAAGAAGCAGTACCATTAGATGACCCTAAATGAGATCCCAATGACAAGAAGGGAGAACGGAAGAGGAGATACTTTCAGCTGCGCATAATGGAGGGCTTACGTAGGACTAGAACTAACCATCTCAATTATACCAAGCTATCCATGATAGACCAGGGATTCTATAAGAATCCCACTGCCTTCCTGGAAAGGCGAAGAGAGGCCTTGGTAAAGCACACCTCTCTATCTTCTGATTCAGTTGAGGGACAACTAATCCTAGAGGACAAATTTATTTCTGAGGCATCCCTGATATCAGGTGGAAGCTACAGAAACAGGTCCTGGGACCAGGTAGTGCTTTAGAGAACCTTGGTCTTTTATAATAGAGATAGGGAGGACCGAGAAAGAGAGAGGAGACACAGGAAAGAAGTAGAGGCTTTAATGGCTACCATGCAAGCCCACAAACCCCAGAATCCCTGAGATGTGCCTGTTAACTGCTACAGATGTGGCAAGCCAGGGCATTTTAGGAAGGATTGTCCAGGCAGCATTAGGAGCCCACCTTGACCCGTCCAATCTGCAGTGGGGACTATTGGAAGGTAGACTGCTCCTGGGGACACTGGTCACTGGGTCCAGAGCCAGTCTCTCAAATGGTCCAGCAGTATCAAGGGGTTCAGAAACTCCTCTCTCTGGCTCTGGTGATCCAGACCACCATTACCCTCCAGGAGCCCTAGGTAGTTCTGTAAATTGAAGTGGGGAAAGTGGATCTTCTTCTGGACCCCTCAGGTATTTGAGGTATATGCTAGTCTCTCAGTTCTCCTTTCCAATCCAGGTCCCCTTTCCTCTCTTTGCATGACTATAAGGGGCATCTCAGGAAGGCCTTTAACCCAATAGTTTTCCCAACCCCTTGGTTGTAGATGGGGAGACCTCTTGTTCACCATGCTTTTCTAATTATGCCTGAAAGCCCAACTCCTCTGTTGGGCAGGGATATTCTGGCCCATATGGGGACCACCATCCTGATGGCCCCAGAACAAACTCTTTGTCTTCCCCTAGTGGAGACTGATATTAACCCAGATGTTTGGGCAATTAAAGGGAAAATTGGCTGAGCCACAATCACCATACTGGTTCAGATCCAACCTCATTTCCTAGCCAGAAACAATATCCCCTGAAACCAGAAGTTAGGAAAAGACTAGATGCCATCATTGATAGCTTAAGGTTGCAGGGCTTCCTTAAACCCTGCAACAGCCCTTGTAATACCCTGATATCAGGGGTACAAAAACCCAATGGGGAATGGAGACTAGTCCAGGACCTCCACCTTGTTAATGAGGCTATGATTCCAGTTCACCCAGTAGTTCCCAATCCATATACCCTGCTAGCTCAAATACCTGAGGGGACTAAATGGTTCATAGTCCTGGACCTGGTCCCTCTAACAAAACCGCCTAGTTAACCTGGACAATGTTACCTCAGGCATTCCAAGTCAGCCCCCACTTGTATGGGCAGGCATTGTCAAGAGACCTCTCCAAGTTCCTTTAACTTCGAGTTCAAGTTTTACAATGCATAGATGACATTCTCCTCTGTGCTCCAACTGAAGAAATCTCTCAGGAGGGCAGTAAGGCTCTTCTTAATTTTCTGGCTAACAAAGGATATAAGGTTTCAAAATCCAAAGCTCAGCTCTCTCAGACTTCAGTGACCTAGGTCTGGTCTTGTCAGAGGGTACCAGGGCATTGGTCGAACAAAGGATTAAACCCATCTCCTACTATTCCCTCCCCAAAACCCCCAAAGTTGACTTTGCTCAGGCCACATTAAATGAACAGGGAAGCAGGGAGATTCGTGTGATAGACACCAGAGAGGAGCACTCTGTTCAGGCAACTTGGCAAAATAATTTTGGCTGCAATTGCCCTGTGAGTTGCGGATGTTTTCGGTAGTTTTCTTTAACACCACCGGAAGACAGTCTTTATCTGGAAACAATAATGGCAAACCAGGCCTCAGGTGCTAACACCTGCCTGGAAAGTAATAGAATGAACTGGACATAATCTATTTCAGTTATTTTCTACTTAAACAATGTACAACTAAAATGCAATGTGACTCTAATATTAACTCCGGCCCCACTTCTTTGGGGGATTGTGGGAATTCTGAGCCTGGCGTACCTGAGGGAAATTCCACTATAATAATCATATTTGGGTCTTCACTTTAAAACTGACTCCTCAGTGACTTTTAAGACCACCGTGATTGAAGCCTCAATCACCAGGCTTTTTTTTTTTAATGTTTCCCATCGAACATGTCCCTTTACTTCCATATACTTCCAAGATTCTGCCTCCCAAAGGCCCTGACCCATCTTCAGACTGCTTTCTTGTTCTCTGCCTGCCCCCTCAATCTTACTGAGGAAGTTTTCAGGCCAGTTGGCCAGCTTGAGGCCTGGATGCAGCCTTCACACCTTGGTGGTATGTTCAATATGTGTCTCACTCCTCTCTGTGATCTCTTCTCTGAAAGCACACAGGGCTAGGCCTCCTGCCGGCATTGTCTTCCACCCTGACAGTCTGCAGAGGCCCCTGCCATTCCGCGTTCCACACTGATCCATGTCAGGTTTCCCCCTCATGCAGAGGATTCTCAGTCTGACTGCAGATGCCCAAAATTCAGATGAACAATAAATAACGCTACTAGATAAAATCAGGATGCCCCGTCAAATTTGAATTTCAGATTTAAAATATTTTCTAAATTCTTCACAGTTTAACTAAAAAATTATTAGACATTTACTCAAATATCAAATTTACCTGTATTTTTACTTGCTGATTGTGGCAATCCTAACTGTAAAATATCCCCCTTTTGATAGCACTAGTGACTGCTCTCCCAAATTGCCTCTGAGATCTGGAAACTAAGGAAATGAAAGTCTCTTGATTCCACACAGCAGGTCATTGTGGTTGGCAGAGGTTGAGTCCCTGTTTATGGGCTGTAGCATGGTTTATGAGGGATTCTCATCAACCTTTCTGGATTTTTCTCAGAAAAAAAAATGTTCATATATTTGATACCTCCCTGTAAACATCTGCCCCACTGCACAGAATATGTTTACTCTATACTTATTTCAGTGTACTATCATACTATCTGTTATGTTCTAAATGTTTATTCCTCCCCCTCCCACATTCGTATATTGAAATCCTAACCTTCAAGGTGATGGTATTGAGAGAAGGTAGGTCCTCTGGGAGGTGATCGAGTCATGAGGGCAGATTCCTCATGAATGGAGTTAGGACCCTTATAAAAGATACCAGAGGAAGCTTATTCACTCCTTCCACCATGTGAGGACACAGCAAGAAGGCACCGCCTATGAATCAGGAAATGGGTCCTCACCAGGCATTGAATCTGCCAGTGCTTTGATTTTAGATTTCCAGCTTCCAGAATTGCGAGAACTAAATTTCTGTTGTTAAAAGTCACCCAGTGTATGGTGTTTTGTTACAGCAGCCCAAATAGACTATGACATGCTCCAACATCACCTTCACTTACACACCTTGGAATGTGTAGTGTGTTAGGGCTCCAGTGTCAATTCTGAACTCACAGGGCAGAGGCGGGGATCGCAGTGAGCACCTCTGACTTGCCTGTCAGTCAGCTGCCTCAGTTCAGTATAGCTGTAAAATTGGAGGTTTCTTCATTCTGTTGTCATCTCTCCTTGCTGCTCAAAGGTTTGTGTTTGTTTGTCTGTTTTATTTTCATTTCCTGGAACAGACATGTTGTGTCACAAGTTTCTGTATTTCTATGTATTGGGCACACAGTCTAACATAAATTTACTATTTTGTTGTTTCTTACCTTTCTTTTAACCCTGATTAAAGTAAAGGATCTCACTCAAGCTAATGGCATGATTTCTCAGTCTCACTAATGTGTGTTCTCTGCTACATGTCTTCTCTCTGCTACATGTCTTCCTCCTCCCCCACTTACTTCTTATTTTCTTCTTCCTCTTTTCTTCCCTCTACTCTTCCTCCTCCATGCAAAAACTAGGAATAGCAGGAAATTCATGGATTTTTCCATAAAATAGATATGAGTATACATTTTCATTCAATCACTCACTAAACAAGTGAACATTGCCTGGTCTATGTCTTCCATCTGGAAATGAAGATAGTATAAGCATACAACTCTCACATTGCTGTGAAGATTAAATGAGATAATATGTAGATAATTTCTGGTATGTAGTAGTTGCTAAATAAATACTGCTTTCTTTCCTTTCTGACCAGCAACACATAGAATAAATGATGTTAGTATGTAAAAGTGCTTTACACACTAATATGTGAACACAGCTAGGTAGCTCTTGGGCATGCTTGCTCTTTAAGGATATAGTATAGGTTCTTGGGAATATTTCCTGGGGTCTCCACTTTCTAGTTCCCAGATCACTTTCCTTTCAATTAGACAGTCTTTTGCCCTACCACTATTGTCTCCTAAGTGCTTGATTACTGCCACAGTTAAGGCTTGAACAGTATGTGAAGGCCAGTAACTTCCTTGGGCCCTCCCATTCTTTTTGTGCTTGCTGTCTAAAAGTTCCTCTCTTCTCCACCTGTTACTCCAATCATATCCTTACTTAGAAAACTTTACTTTTTCAGACTTGCCAGTGTGCCTGGTACCTCAACAATTCAGAGATGCAAAAAACAGTTTGCCTTTGAGTGCGAACCTGCCTAGTAAGATATATGTACCAGAAGAAGTGCTCAGTAAATATATCTAATACATGAATGTATAAATGGCTATGCCCTATCCCTCCATGTAGAATCCTTCAGCATCTTCTTATCACTCTAAGGGTATAAACAAGTTTCTAACACAGCCTACAAGATCCTGAGTTGTTGGGGCCCTGGGACCTCCCAGCATTACCTTGTACTATTTATTCATTCAGTCAGCCAGCTAATGAATATTTCTCAAGCACCTACTGCATGTCAGAAAATGTTCTAGGGTTGGGTGTGGTGGCATACACTTGTAGTCCCAGCTACTTAGAGGCTGAGGCAGGAGGATCATTTAAGGCCAGGAGTTCAAGACCAGCCTGGGAAACATAATGAGACCCCTTTCTCTTAAACAAGCAAAAACAGAAAATGTTTCACAAATTGAATGTAGAAGTATGTGCAGGAGAGAAATCAATTTCCTGATAGATCTTAAATATAGTGAGGATAGACAAGTAGTAAAACACATAATTCAATAATAAATGTAATACGTTAATAGTGTAATGTTCTGAAGAAGAATGAAGCAGAAAAGGAGGCGTTTATAATTCTGTTACTCTGAAGAGTACAGGCTTCTGGATCCTTTTCTTACTTTCTTTGTAAATGTCATTCTTTTTGCTTGGAATGGCATTTTCCATAAGGCGTTGCCTAGTTTTCTTCTACTCCTCTTGCATTATTTCAGCTCCTGTGTAACTTTCTCATGTCTTCAGGTAAACCTTCCCTGAGTGTCCACTTTGCCACGCCATGCCCCCTCTCACCCTCCCATGTTGCCAGATGGCAATTCCCAGTGTTCTGTGCTTTCCTTGGCTGTGATTGATTTTTCCAGAGAACTTTGTTTTTTAGTTCAGAATTATCTATTCTTTTCTTGATCAGTTATTTAATTTTTGTTCTCACACTGGAATATAAACTTGGTAAGAACAGGGCAGCATCTGTTTATTTCCCCCCCCGCTTTATCCTCGAAACCTAGAACAATTTTGCCTGGGGTCAAAACTGCTGCAAGAAATGCTAAAGATGTCCCACTACTTTCCAGGTAGACTTTTGATATATGGTCATGTGCCATATAATGATATTTTGGTCAACAAGGTACCACATATATGACCGTGGTCCCATAAGATTAAGGTCATGATGCCATATTTTTACTGTGGCTTTTCTATGTTTAAATAAATACTTACCATTGTGTTACAATTGCTTACAATATTCAGTACAGTAACACGCTGTACAGGTTTGTATCCTAGGAGAAATAGCCTATACCATATAGCCTAAGTGTATAGTACTTTTTACCACCTAGGTTTGTTTAAGTACACTCTGTAATGTCCATACAATGAAATCACCTAATGATGCATTTCTTGTAATCCATTTTTGTCACTGAGCACCACATGACTATATGTAAGTTATAATCAATAGGGGATCAGAAAATGTCTTTCACTTACTCTGTAGAGCCAAGAATTGAGATGAAATAAATATGGCATAGACACTGCAAATTTTTCTTACATGGGAATTTCCTGCAAAATTTTCTTACATGGGAATCAAGTCCTTGACTTTTTTCAATCATATCCAAATGTCTAAAAGGAGGTATAAATTCACCATCTGGAATTCTTGTCTAGTTGATGTATTTGATGAAGTTTTGTTTTGCTTTACCAGAAAACTTTTTCCACCCTGGCCTGTGCCCTCTGTGTATTGCTAAAGTTGAAGAATGTATTGTGCCTTCTGCTGCTTTCATTTCCCGGGTCCCAAGTCCCGTCTCCAGAATATACTCTTTATTTGATGCAAAGACACTGGGAGCTTGAGTGGTGCTGGCAGATCTGTGATTCATGCATAGGAGAAAATGGCCATCTTTCCCAGGTAGGACAGCAGCTGCCCAGGATGGCGAATCACCCTGACACCATCTGCTTGGCTGACCCACTAATCTGCCAGCCGGTTTTCATGAACACCAGAATTGTTTCCCATTGGAGATTTCTTCAGACATCTTTTACATCAGTTAAAGACTAAAGAACAGATGGTGATTTCTTGAGACAGTGAAGGATTTAACTGATTCATTACTCATGTAGGGAACAGTGATAACCAATTCGGCATCATATGCTTTGACTTACTTTTCTTTTAGGTTTTCAATTCCCAGTGTGTTAGGAGATTACAGATTATAAGAATGTAAATGTGCTTCTATGCTTCTAATTATGAATATTTATCAGGATGCTTCAGGAAGTCAGCAAGCACAGGGATCTGTCCCAGTACCGTCAATGTCAGGGCCTTAAATCAATGGAAAGGGTGACCATCACCATTCAGATACCAAAGCAGCACCAAGGACACTCAGCAAAACTAGTAAACACAATAAAATCTGATAATGTTTGACAAAGCATAGTGCTTTGCCTGGCACACAGAAATAGCTCAGCAAACCATAGTTGACATTATACTGCTAACAACAGAAATTCTAGGAATTTAATGGAAGTTTTATTGACCTAATCATTTTGGCATACTATTAAATAGATGTGCCTATATACCTCTAATAATTTTGCCATACTCCCAACTCTATTTTTGACCCTATCTTGTTGTTCCCTTTGGTTTTCTTCCCTTCACTCTTTACCCATCCCCTCTTTCATTTACAACAAAAACTCGTCAAGAGATAGAATTTGATGAGACATGTCATTCACTCTTCATTGTTAGAGCACACTGACTGAGCATTCTTTTGCCAAGCTACTCTTTAAATTGACCCTTAAAACTAACCAATCACTACTTCTCTTTGACCCAAGTGTAGACTCCCGGTGCGATGCATTCTAGGTAGGTTCACAGGTTTGCATTATAGAAAGCATGGGGAATTATGTCTAAGGATCACCTTGGGGCATTCTGTTTAGAAGGAGACTGAGGATAGAGAATACACTGAGTTGTATGGACTATTCAATACACTAGTAATTCAATTTTCTTTTTCTCTGGAAACTGGTAATAGGTGCTTTTTATATTGAGTTTAAATCTTTAAAAATCTTTCAATGACCACAAAAGGTTTTGCTCAGGAAGTGGTTGAGTGATGACTTCTTCAGAGCTTAGGGAGCTATTTGGAAAATTGGCAATGATTTTAAAAGAATCTTCCCATCACACATGTCTCCAGGCCTCTGTGGCCTGGCTGAACAATGCCAGTTCAGTTTGGAAGTAATTTCATGACTAAGTAAATACTCACTGACTTCTGGCAAGGTAACAGGATATAGGGAAAATTAGAAAGTAGATCGGCCATAGTTCAAATCTGTCAGCAACTAAGATGTCACTCCACCTCTCTGAGATAAAGTTTACTCATCTGTGAAAGGAAATTGGTATACAGTTTATATGCAATAATGTATACAAAACACTTGGCACAGAAATTGGAGCTATAAATATTAGTTATTGTTCCCCATGAGGCCTATTCTGAACTCACTGAATAGGTCTTCTAGCCTCCCTCTGCTGGTTAGGCAGTGGTGGGCAATTTAGATGTTTGTATTTACCTGGCTCACACTCTGAGGATGCTCTGTGGAGACAGATATTCACACTTCATTTTGGGAGGCTGGCAGTGCAGTTTCTGCTGGCAGGAAGTCAGCACACTAAGCTGCAAATGAGCAAACGCCGAAGGATCCATGTGATGCATGTATGGAACCCTGGTGGAGCGTGGGATCAGATCTTGGTGGTGTCAGTCCTTGGACCAGTCGTGATACCTCCCTGTATTAGTCAGGACTCTCCAGAGAAACAGAACCAATAGGATACACACACACACACATACACACACACACACACACCCTCTCTCTCTCTTTCTCTGTATATGTGTGTGTGTATGTGTGGGTGTGTGTGTATCTCCAATAGGATATATATAGGATGTGTGCGTATGTATATCATATGGTAAAAAGAAGATTTTATGTGGTGATATATATATGCATATATGAAGTTGATATAGACATATATAGAGATAACTACATAAAAATTTCCATAACCCCATAAGCCTACATTGTCCCCTGAGCCAATTCTCATAATAAATCTCATACACACACACATACACATAGATATAGATCAGTGGATAAATAAATATATAGATATAAATATATGGATATACATGGAGTTTATATGCGTATATCTCTCTATATAAAGATTTATTATGGGAATTGGCTCACATGATTATGGAGGCCAAGAAGTCCCATGATCTGCCAAATGCAAGCTAGAAAATAAAAAAAGCCAGTGGTACAATTTAGTCTGCATCTGAAAGCCCAAAATGAAGGGGAGGGAGGAGCCAATAGTGTAAGTCTAGGATTGTATCTGAAGGCCTAAGAACCAGGAGCCCTGGTGTCCAAAAGCAGGAGGAGATGAATATCCCAGCTCGGAGACAAAGTGTGTCCTACCTTTACTGTTTTGTTCTATTCAGGCCTTCAAGGAATTGGATAATGTCCACCCACATTGTGGACTCTGGGTCTTCTTTATTTAGTCTACTGATTCTAATCCCAATCTCTTCAGGAAAACTCTCAGAGAAACATAAATCATGTTTCATCAACTATTTGGGCATCCCTTAACCCAGTCAAGTTGGCACACAAAGTTAACCATTACACTCCATTGTTGATTCAGTAAAACCCAGCATAAAAGTCACAACATGACAGACAGCATGACCTTGGTGATGAATCACTCACTTTCTACCTGCTTGGAGCACTTGCTCCCACCCTGACTCTGATTCTGCAGGCATGGATCTTGCTGATTTGAAGCCTATGTCCTGCCTCTGAGTCTTTTCTCTTCAAAATAAATTGCATACTTGAATCTTAAGATTCCTTCTGACCCCATCAACCTCTAAGTAGCATAGTTTTAGAGATCAAAACTTCGTGCAGCATTCCCAAATATCAGTGACTGATGTTAAGGCTTTGTTATTTAAACAGAGGCAGACTGTTTACACTTTAGCTTATGCAGATGCTAACTCCTATTAGAGTGTGTTTATATACATTCCATGCTATAGTGTTAGCTATGTATAAATAGAATACAAATTAATAGATTTTTTGATGATACAGTTTTAAATTTCCTTATTAAAAATACATTTCTTGAAAAAAATTAGACTATTTCTTATATGCTTTTGAATGTTTTCAGTGGTGCTACCTTAAAGATTAAAACATATTAGGCCCTTGATATATATTTGTTTAATGAGTATACTTGGTCATTTTACAAATATATAGCTGTTCTTGGTGTTAATAACTACCCCAGAATATTACTTCTACACAATACCATCTGCTTAAATTACGAGGAATTCTAATTACATCTTCCTGGGTCATCTAATGTCTTATGTTCAGGAAGATTTTAAAGTACTAATTCTGCTCCAAATTTTAGGCTTTTCTACTCTCAACTTCTCTCTGAACTCAAAATTGCAGTGCACCCTCATGAATCTGAGAACAATAAGATTGGCCTAACAAAGTAAACAGGAAGAAAGAATACAATTTGGATGCAGAATATCATTCAAGAAAAACATAGTAAAAGTTATAGATAAATGTAATTACTACTCATTTGCAAAACTGAATAAAATAGATCTATGGCAACTGTTTTAAACAAACAAACAAAAACAAGAAATATAAATGCTCTAAGAAGGAATGAGTAAACAGACATAAAATAGATAAAGATACAGCATTTCCAAATTCCTTTCAAAAAAACACTGAAATTGTAAATGGGATGAAGATAGGGCAAAGTTAGAAGATACAAGACCAGTTTTCTTTTATATCAAGATACAAAATTCTAAATAATACAATATCAAATATTATCCAGCATTTTGTTTAAAGAATAATGACAAATATGGTTGATTCAGAGAATGCACATATGGTTTGATACTGAGTATCCTATTAATATATCTAATCACTGTTATGGGTTAAATAACCTAAAATTATTAATGTAATCCCAATCTCAGAAAGAAATAAGCATTACATTAAAAAATACGTGGCCCATGAAGATATTGACAGACTTGACTACATACAAATTTAAAACATCCATATATTTTCCTGTAATAACCATCAATATCAATTTGCTGTGCATATTTTTAGATTTTTTTTTGTGTGTGCAGCATACACCTATTCACACATGTACATGCACCTGTAGCAAATCTGGTCAATTTTTCTGTATTATTTAGCTTTTACTGTCTTACAGAAACTCCCAAACTTTGTTTTTCAAATATAATACACACTTATTATTGCTCAAGAGTTAACAGGTCCGTGGAAAGTAGGGGAGGTGGCACTGCTGAACTTATTGAAGCTTTCCTGCATATGAAGGAAACCAGAAAATGTCACCCTAAAATATGTCTTATTGACATAAAAATTACTTTTGAGCTAAAGGCAATTAAGAAGCCTTCCCCCTTTTCTGCCTGAAGACAGAATATAAATTTTCCCGTACTGTAGACAACTCATCAGCTCAGAGATGGCACCAGAGGAATCTACAAACAAATCTTACCCCATTAGTTTCTTCCCAAGCATTTACCTTCCACAGTTTCCTGCTTTGGGAGGCCCCAAGCTGCTTTTCTTTGTCCTGTCATTTCTCCATTCATTTATTGTTCTTTGTTGACAGTGCTACACAAGCCAAGTTTCTCAGTCACTGTTTTGAGTTACCCTCCTTTGAGGTTTCTCCTATGTGATGTGCACTGCACACATTAATAAATGTATCTGTTTTTCTCTTGTTAATATGTCTTTTGTTACAGGGGTCTGTCCCAACTGCAAATTTATGAGGGTTGAAGAGAAATTATATTTCCTCCTGGACACATGTTGGAGGATTGCTTGGCTGCAGAATGGTGTTAAGATTGTCTTTCTTGTGCTCTACAAAGTTACATTGTAAAGAGGGATCCATAATGAGGGGGTGGAGGAGGGGGTGGGGGTGAGGGAGGAGGCGGTGGGGGGGAGCTTGTGATAATCACAGGCATCTTTTTTTTATACAAGCTAACCAGCACAAGAGCCAAGTAAAATACTCTATCATATCCATGTTATTCTGATAAGATTTTCGTGAAATTCAATGTCCATATGAAGAGAAAAATAATGCTTAGTGAGATAGCAAGAGAAGTATTTTTGTAAAATAATAAAAGACATAGAACTCATGCCAATAATCAATAACGTTTTTAATAGTAAAATATTTCATGAATTCCTACTAGAATCAACTTAAGACAGGGATGCCCTCTATCATCATTACAGCAGAAACAGGCAGATGAATAGACTGCTGGAGCACACCCTCTACTTGTCCCTCCTACCTGCATTTTAAGGGCTAATAAACCACGATTTAAATAGATTATCTATAGAGAGTAAAGGAGATTCCCAAATGGTGAGTTACTAATAAGATGCCAATAAACAAGAGTGGCTCTTGGGAGTTGGTTCCATTAGCAGAATGAGAATTGGGGAATAATGGTACCAGTTTTATAGCACTGCCAGCAGTTGCTTCAAATAGAAAATTTGTTAATTCTAATGGCAGCTTGATTTTCTTATTCAGTATATGGTATTACAGGAAAGATGAGAATTTTATTCTGTTGAATATGAAACATCTGACATCATTGTTTATATTATTAAAAACGCAGGTTAAAAAGTCCTTCACTGAAGACAAGGTGGTTGGTTTGTGTTGATGATGTAAATACAAATCTTGGTGCAGCACAATATTATGGTACAAACAAAGCTCTTACCTAATTAAGAAACTTTTGGATTGAAAACATTTGGAATTGGCTATGGTACACATATAATTCATAATTTCATCCAAACAAGCTTCAGACTTGTACCAATCCAAATAGGAGTTATAATTGTAGAAATTTACATGTATTCTACATAGACACATTTAGAATAACTGTAAAACTTTTATGATGATACAAATTTGAATACACAAACATATGTGAGCAGTTTAGTACATGATTTCTGTCTTTGCTGCCTATTATCCTTGGGATGTTAAAATTGTTAGAAGCTTTAAAAATCTACTTTGTAAATCAAACTAAGTTTCTTAAATTGGTACTAACTTTTTGGTGAGCCAGCTACACTTTGATAGCAATTTCCTTTAATTCTATTGAAAATGTTATTCAAAAAATACTGAAAATAATTGTTGGAAATATAGCTGGCAAACTACAATGTATCTCCCTTAAAACACAAAGGAGAAAATGAACATGTGGAACAACGAAAGCTCAAACAGTTCATAAGGTTTTGAAATTCTATCATTAAATATTATATTAACTTAAAATTTTTATTGCATTTCTATTTTAACTGGATTAATTTTTATTTTGTATCATATTTAAATGAATTGAGAAGTGCCACAATTTTGCATGCATTTACATTTGATGAAATATTCAAAATAATAATTTATATCAACACTGTAATTATTGAGATTGTTGAAGAAAGCAACTCTGAATGGAGGAAGAAAGTAATTGCCTTTCAAAATACGTAGGGAAATGTTTTACATTTACATAAGAAAATAAAATTAAAAATTTTTTTTGCTTAAAGAATTTCATTTGAACTTACAAGATTTCTCAGCATCTATGTAGGATGTTTTCTCAATTCAAATAAACTTCAGACAGGTTGTCATTAAAGGTGCTGACAATTTTACATTCATTAACAATAAAGTAAAACCTCAAAGATTTCAGAAAATTTATTTAAAATTTAATAATAATTATTACAGTTAGGTATTTTTCACAACATATAATTAACATAATATTAAAGATGGATACATCATAAAGTACATGATATGCATTATTCAAAGTTTTTTTAATTTTTAATTTTCACTAACTTTTATTTCAAGTTCAGGGGTATATATGCTTGTTTGTTACATAAGTAAAGGTGTCCTTTTGAAAATGTCTGCTCATGTTCTTTGCTGACTTTTAAAAAAAATTTTTTTTAATTGTAAGTTTATTTAAGTTCCTATAGACACTGGATATTAGACCTCTGTCAGATGCATTATTTGCAAATATTTTCTTCAATTCTGTAAGTTGTCTGTTTACCCTGTTGATAGTTTCAATTCTGTAGGTTGTCTGTTTACTCTGTTGATAGTTAAAAGGTTGTCTGTTTACTCTGTTGATAGTTTCTTTTGCTGTGCAGAACCTCTTTTGTTTACTTACATGCCATTTGTCAGTTTTTGCTTTTGTTGTGATTGCTTTTGGCATCTTCATCATGAAATCTTCTCCCGTTCCTGTGTCCAGAATGGTATTGCCTAGTTTGTCTTCCAGGATTTTTATAGTTTGGGGTCTTACATTTAAGTCTTTAATGCATCTTGAGTTGATTTTTGTAAATGGTATAAGGAAAGGGTCTTGTTTCAATCTTCTGCATATGTCTAGCCAATTATCCCAGCACCATTTATTAAATATGGCATCCTTTCCCCATTGCTTGCTTTCGTCAGCTTTTTCAAAGATCAGATGGTTGTAGGTGTGCATCTACCTGTTATTTTTATTTTTATTTAATCAATATAAAAAAATCTTTAAAATGTTGCTTTAATTTATAAAGGATTTTATTCTTAAAGATAGCTTTTGAATAGGAATAGAGAATTCCACTAACACAGAGTAAAGACTAGTTTGCCATTTAATAAATATACATTTCAAGAAACTAAATAATCTAAATTGTTTTCATACTCCCTCTTATTCCTAAAGTGCCCTGTTGTGGAAGATAAATTATATGATTATCCTTATTCGGAATGCCAAACAGCATAATTAAGAAAAAAACCAAGACTGAGATACATTGCAGTGAAATTTAAACATCCACAATTATACATTTAAAACACCTATTATCTAAATATGGGGGACAAGAAACATATACTTCATGCATAAAATAACACATAGATTTTGCCACAAAGAAAACAAAATTAAAGGCATTATCAGTTGGGTGACTCTAATAACAAGAGATATAAATTACTAGTGCTAGGAAAGATTTGTAAATTAATGAAAATGAAACAACAGTAAAATTTATTTTTGTCTTTCCAAATAACAAGGAGAGAAATGAAAAAGTACCATATTTCAGAAAGTATAAGATTAAAATGTTTTTCACATATCAAAGTTTCTGAAATTTTAGTAAGCCTCATAATTGCTTTTATCCAGGAAAAAGCCATTATGTAATAGTCACTGAGCTTAAGCTCAGCTTGGACGTAGCTCTTCATGCTATCATCATATCAGTTTAACTATGTGCATTGTTAATGTTACACACGCAAAGTTAAACTGTTGTTTAAAATGGCTTCTAAATGGATTAACATGATTTTAAGTCATAATGAAAATATGTCATGTACTCAGAAAGGCATAGAAATACAGCATTAGTTTATACATTGGACATTGTTAAAGCAAATATTCCTCATTGGAAGACTGACAACACTCTCATATGTTCCTCTTCCAGAGCAGCAAGCAAAGACTTAACAGCAAATAAGAAAGGAAGCTGCCCACTAGCAGAAGAAACTGTATTACTTTTGCTCCTGAAATGCATTCAGACAATTGACTAATGCAAGATAAGTAGATAAGTATGCAACTAAAGCCTGAAAAACTATCAAATCTCTGGAGGTATTGGATGAAATTTTAAATCAAGGAGACATATAAATTATAAATAAGAGAAGGAACTGTAGAATGTTGGGGAAAACATACAACAGTCACTGTCTTTTATAGAAGACTGTATGGCTGTTGGCAAGTTTAATATTAGAAATGTTCAAATATAAGAAAAATGAAAAATTGAGGTTATTTTAATTTTATTAAATTCTAAATATTTTTAAATTTTGCATTTTTTTCTCCATGACCCCTGAAATATTCAGAATTGTCAATTTTATTATATGAATGTATGAAGTTGTGTGAACCAGGGTCCTGGCTACAAATAGATCACTCAGGAGTAATTGGAAAGAATATTTAGAATTTATGTTTTGGAGGAAGGACCCAAAAGAGACATTGGTAAATTGGCTTTAAATTCTGAGATAAAGGATTAAGGATAAATCTAAAATTATATTTTCCTGAGGAAGTAGAAAAATGTCATTGCCAATATGTGAGACAGTGAAAGATAAAAGAAAGCAGGTTTTGAAGAAAAATCTGAATTTTAGTTTACATCTACTGAATATGAGACGTCTATTAGCTACCCAAATGAGTATGTCATAGGCATCAGATATACGAATCTCACATTCAGAGGAGCACTTTGAGATGGTGACATAATAATTAGCGTCTTTCTAATTACGTTGGTCTTATCATTGATATACTTACGACTTTTGTTTGGCTCATTTTTTAAATCTTTAATATGTGGACAATAATACATACTTGAGAATATTTTTGTGATGCTTCAGAATATTGATGCATCAAAAAATATTCTCAAGTATGTATTATTGTCCACATATTACAGACTTTAAACCAACTTTAAACCACATAAACAGACTTTAAACCATCAAAGATCAAAAAAGACAAACTAGGACATTACATTATGGTAAAGAGTTCAATTCAACAAAAACCTCTAACTACCATAAATATATATATGCACTCAACACAGAAGCACCCAGATTCATTAAACAAGTTCTCAGCAACCTTCGAAGACCCACATATGCAATAAATATGAATTTTTTAAAATTCTTCTTCTTTTTTTCTTTCTTTTCCTTTTCGTTTTAAATCAAATCAAGAGCAGGTCTCCTCCATAGTGAAATGTATCTTTCTTATAGAAATCTCCAGTCTAGACTGAGAACTCATCCTGTTCCTTAATTAGTGATGCACACCAGGCAAGTTATAATTAAATACATACTCCCGATCACTTGCAGGTTAAGTACGTGGTTCATGGAGTCAAACAGGAGGAGACAATTTATAAATGGTGCTCCCAAGAGTAGCGTGTTTCACCATAGAAATTTATTGCCAGGATGAGATTGCTCCTGGTAACATAATTATAGGTTAGAAAAAATGATAGGGCAAACAGCTAAATGTAGAGCATACGCCATTACTGGCATAATCAGGGGTTGACATCCTGCAGGTATCTCTACTTGTATGACTGAAGTCCCCTGACCTCTGCTGCCACTTTGTCTCGCTCGTAAAATTATTTCACCAGATGTAACTGGGTGATTGAATTCTTCCCAGTAAGCAATGACCTTGCTCTTTGAATAAGGGTCTTAATTTGAGGAAGGTGAGTCCCTAATTCTCAAAAAGTACATCAAGGAAAAAAATTGTCATTGGGGCCCTCTTCCTATACCTACAAATTAGAAGTGCTTCAGAGGAGATCCATTCCCCTGTCTCAATTATGTATAAGAACTAGAAATTGGAGAGGAGAAATGTATGTGGCAGGGTATAATTTTCTTTCATCACGTAGGTAGCAGGAACATTAGAGGAGAGGGCAGATGAGGGCTCCATTTCTGACAGTGCAGACATGCTCAAGAATCTTTGCAATGTCCTAGTAACAATTATAAGAGGAAGAATCATTTAAGACAGTGGCAGCCCTAGTCCAATAAAACAGAAGAAAAATTGAACCAAATCCTCATTTTACAGTCTTATATTCATAGTGTGCATGATATCTCTGGACTTTCTAAAGAGGGCCTGTTCTGGGTGCTAAGTTGGGCCATTAATTACATGTAATACACCTTTACCCAAAACTCAACGTGACTCAGACTTCATCCAAATCAGAATACCCCTTTCTTTCTAATATGAAGTTTGGATTTTGTACTTATTCAAAGCACAGACAATGATGCTTATGAGCCTTATGAAAGAGCAATGTCAGAATCCAAATCTGCCTCAGGTACTTGGCACAATGTAATAATTTTTAACAGTGAATAATACATCTAATAGGACTAGATTCCAACACAGAAAAAAGTGTGGAGGTAGTAGTTTTGTATATGGTGTACTAGGTGGAATTGAAAATTATAAGAATCTCTTAAGTGACATCAGGCTAGCCATTTAGTGCTCAATATAAGTGTGATCATGGTCAAATTCCATCAGCTCTCAGAGAACATTCTTCCTATATGATTCCATTATATCTTTGAGGCACCTCAGCTGACTTCCAGGGGCATTATTTTGATTATGTAACATAATGATGCTTTATTTATCTGACTTTTAGACAGTCTATAACAATGGCTTATCATGATGACTGGTTCAAATCCAAACATACGAATACTAGCCTTAAATGTAAATAGGCTAAATATCCCAATTAAAAGACACAGAGTGGAAAGCTGGATAAAGAACCAAGACCCATCAGTATGCTGTCTTCAAAAGACCCATCTCACATGCAGTGACACAAGAGATGCACAAAGAACAGCTGGTACCATTCCTACTTAAACTATTCCAAAAAATTGAGGAGGAGGGACACCCCCCTAACTCATTCTGTGAAGCCAGCATCATCCTGATACCAAAACCTGGCAGATATACAATAAAAAAGAAAACTTCAGGCCAATATCCTTGATTAACAGTGATGCAAAAATTCTCAAAAAACACTGGTAAACTGAATCCAGCAGTATATGAAAAAGCTAATCCACCATGATAGAGTAGGCTTTATCCCTAAGATGCAGGTTTGTTCAACATAAACAAGTCAATAAATGTGATTCATCATATAAACAGAACTAAAGACAAAAACCACATGACTATCTCAATAGATACAGAAAAGTTTTTCAATAAAATTCAGCATACATTCCTGTTTAAAAAAAACTCTCAATAAAGTAGGTATTGAAGGAACATACCTCGAAATAATAAGAGCCATCTATGACTAACTCACAGCCAACATCCTACAGAGTGGACAAAAGCTGGAAAAAGTCCTCTTGAAAACTGACACAAGACAAGAATACCCTCTCTCACTCCTCTTATTCAACATAGTATTGGAAATCCTGGCCAGGGCAATCAGACAAGAGAAAGAAATAAAGAGCATCCAGATAAGAAGAGAGAAAGTCAAGCTGTCCCTGTTTGCAGATGACATGATCCTATATCTAGAAAACTCCATAGTTTCAGGCAAAAGCCCCTTAAAGCTGATAACTTCAGCAAAGTCTCAAGATACAAAATCAGTGTGCAAAAATCACTAGCATTCCTATACACTACCAACAGTCAAGCTGAGAGCTGAATCAGTAACGCAATCCCATTCACAATTGCCACAAAAAGAAGAAAATACCTAGGAATACAGCTAACTAGGGAGGTGAAAGATCTGTACAAGGAGAACTACAAAGCACTGCTCAAAGAAATCAGAGATGAAACAAACGGAAAAACATTCCATGCCCACGAATAGGAAGAATTAACGTCATTAAAATGTCCATACTGCCCAAAGAAATTTATAGATTCAATGCTATACCTATTAAACTATTGATGTTCATCAATGAACTAGGAAAAACTATTTTAAAATTCAAATGGAACTTAAAAAGAGCCCAAATAGCCAAAGCAATCCTAAGCAAAAAAAACAAAGCTGGAGGCATCACACTAGCTGACTACAAATTATACTACAGAGCTACAGTAACCAAAACAGCATGGTACTGGTACAAAAAACAGACACATAGGCCAATGAAACATAATACAGAATCCAGAAATAAGGCCACACACCTACAACTATGTGATCTTCAACAAACCCAACTAAAACAAGCAATGGGAAAATGATTTCCTATTCAATAAATGATGCCGGGATAACTGGCTAGCCATATGCACAAGATTGAAATTGGACTCCTTCCTTAAACAAATTATAAAAAAATTAACTAAAGGTGGATTAAAGACTTAAATGTAAAACCCAAAACTATAAAAACCCTAGAAGACAACTTGACAATATCATTCAATACATAGGCGCAGGCAAAGATTTCATGATGAAGATGCCAAAAGCAATTGCAACAAAAGCAAAACTTGACAAATGGTATCTAATTAAACTAAAGAGCTTCTGCACAGCAAAAGAAACTATCAACATAGTAAACAGACAATCTACAGAATGGGAGAAAATTTTTGCAATCTACTCATCTGACAAAGGGCTAATATCCAGAATCTACAATGAACTGAAATAAATTTGTAAGGAATAAAAACAAACAACCTCATTAAAAAGTGGGCAAAGGACATGAACAGACACTTTTCACCAGGAAACATACTATGCAGCCAACAATTATTTGAAAAAAAACTCAACATCACTGATCATTAGAGAAACACAAATGAATACCATGTCACATCAGTCAAAATGACTATTACTTAAAAGTCAATAAATAACAGATGCTGGCAAGGTTGTGGAGAAAAAGGAAAACTTATACACTGTTAGTGGTAGTGTAAATTAGTTCAATAATTGCTGAAGACAGTGTGGTGATTCCTCAAAGACCCAAAGACAGAAATACCATTTGACCAAGCAATCCCATTACTGAGTATATACCCAAAAGAATATAAGTTGTTTTATTATAAAGACACATGCATGTGTATATTCATTGCAGCACTATTCACAATAGCAAAGACATATGGAATCAATCTAAATGCCCATCAATTATAGACTGCATACAAAAAATGTGGTAAATGTATATCACGGAATACTATGCAGTCCTAAAAAGAATGGGATTATGTCCTTTACAAGAACATGGACAGAGCTGGAGGTCATTATCCTTAGCAAACTAATGCAGTAGCAGAAAACCAAACACTGCATGTTCTCACTTATAAGTGGGAACTAAATGATGAGAACACATAGACACATAAAGTGGAACAAGACACACAGGGGCCTATCATGGGATGGAGGATGGTAAGAAGGAGAGAACCAGGAAAAATAACTAATGGGTACTAGGCTTAATACCTAGGTGATGAAATAATCTGTACAACAAACCCCATGACACAAGTTCACCTATGTAACAAACCTGCACATGTCCCCTGAACTTAAATGTTAAAAAATACGTATTTTTTATTGAAGACTTCTGATTTTATCTCTGACTTTCAGGGAGCTTAGAACTTGTCATTCCCACACTTGGAAGAAAAAAGCTGGGCAAACTGAAAACCAGTGATTTTTTATCTTAGACTCATCTGAGAACTAAGGTTTTAGGGCAGATGACTACCCTAAAATCTGGAGAGATAGGCTTACCAAGAGAGACACAGTTTAGATCTATGTACCTTGAGAAGAAGCTGCTGAAGCCATAACTCCACGTTACAAACACTTACATGTTAGTTTCAATGAATTGCTGGATGCTGAATATGAACAAATAAGAGAGTGAGAAACTCCTTGGGGACTATACTCCTAGGAGAGGGCCCATGATTTTGTGGGTTTTACCTCAAGGAATACCACCAGATTCTCACCGTGAAAATCTGAAGAAGATACCCTCCTGGATCTGGAAGGATGAGGAGAAGAGTGAGTAACCATAGTTAAATAAGCCCAAAGCATTCTCCACAACACAGGCCTACTTTGCAGGGGAAAAGACTTCACAGATCTTACCCTACCAGAAGGAAGGACATTTACCCAACTCCAGCCTTCCTGTGGCACCTAAGAGGCGACAGGGGAAATACACTTACAAAGGTTACAGCCCAAAAACACAAGCACACTAAAGACTGTGTTTAAATTACAAGGTTATAAAACACTTTCTCACTATCCACTTTGCAACCGCCACACAAGGCTCCAGTCTAATAAAGGTTGATTGTAACTGAAGAGTTGCCAGGTACAAATTATGTAAAGAAAGTTATTAAGGAAGCTTAAAGATACCAGGGGAGACAGTAGCAAGGACACTAGGGGAATTTGAATGCTCTAGTGCCTACAGATACAGGAAGCACTAAACATAATCCAACTCTAAAACAGATTAATATAAGGCCTCTTACTAACAGCCTATTTATCTCCGTTTCTATTACCTAATATATCTGGCTTTCAACCAAAATTTGGAAAGCATGCTGAAAGTCAAGAAAAAGCAAGCATCAGAACCAAACTCAGATCTGACACAGATTATTGAAATAATCAGATAGAGAATTTAGAATAATTATGATTACTATCCTATGGGCTCTAATAAAAAAGAAGACAACATATAGGACAGATGGATAGTATAAACAGAGTAATGGAAGGTTTAAGAAAAGATGAAATGTGAATCCTAGAAATAAAATATACTATATTGTAAATTTAAAACTGTCTTAAATGATTTCACTATATGACTGGATATGGTAGGAAAAAAATCACAGAACTTAATGATAAGTTTACTAGAAACTTCCAAAACATAAATGCAATGAGAGAAAAGAGTAGGAAAAGAAAAAAGAAAGAAAAGAAAACAGAACATCTAAGAATTGTGAGACCATTATACAGAATGTAACCTATATGTAACTAGAATGATGGAAGGGAAAGAAAAAGAGGAAAAAGCAAAAAAACAAACAAACAAAAACCAGGAAGAAATAATGGCTGAGAACTTTCCAAACTAAGTGACAGAAACCAAACCACAGATCCAAGAAGCTCAGAGAATACCAACTGGGATAAATAACAAAATATCTACACTTAGGCTTATCATATTCAAACTGCAAAACTAAAGACAGGGAAGATTTTTTAAATGAAGCTAGAAGAAGAAAAGTGTCTTACTTATAGAGGAACAAATCTAAGAATTATAGCAGACTTTTCATCAGAAACTGCTAACAGAATAGAGTAAAATATTTGAAGTGTTAAAAGAAAAAAAACTTAGAATTCTATATTCAAGAAAATTATTCTCCAAAAGTGAAGATTGAACAAGTAAATTCTGAGAAAAACAAATCCTGACCGAATTTATTGGCAGCAGATCTACACTGAAGAAGAATTAAATAAACTTCTTTAGAGAGAAGAAAAATAATATGTCAAAAACTTGAATCCACATAAAGAGATTAAGAACATTGGAAAGGAATATATAAGATTATAAAAATATTTTATTTTTATTATTTATAATTGATCTCAAAAATAATAACTCACCCAACAATGTATTAGGTGAATATAGTATATGGATAGGTGAAATGAATGACAGCAGTGTCCTAAAGGAAGGAGGAACAAATTAAGAATACTTTGATATAAGGGAACTGTACTATATGTGAAGTGGTACAGTGTTTGTTGAAGCTGGTCTTATAGTAGCTATAAAAGTCCATTAAAAACCTTTTAACAACTAAATTTTTTAAAAAGCATAATGGATATGCTAAGAGAGTAAATAAAATGTAATCATATAAAGTGATAAATGTAAGACAGAGAATGCAGAAAAATAAGCAGAATAAAGAACACGTGCAATACATGGAAAACAGTTACAAATACAGTAGCTATTAATCCAACAATATCAATAACTACTTTAAATGTAAATTGCAAAAGCAGTTTAATTAAAGGGATTGTCAGAATGGATTTTAAAAAAAAACAACAACTAAGAATCAATCCTATGTTGTTTGCAAGAAACTTAATTTAAATATAAAGACCCATGTAGGTTAAAAGTAAGGGGATAGAAAAAGACTAAGACTAATCAAAGGAAAGTTGGAATAGGTATATTATTGACACATGAAATAGACTTCAGAACAAAAAAATACCAGGGTTAAAAAGTTATATTATGTGATAATAAAGTGCTCAGTTCTACAAGACATAATAGTTCTTAATATGTACATGACTAAAAAATAAGCACTGAAATTCATGAACAAAAAAGTGGAAGAAGTACAAGGAGAATAGGCAAATGTTTTCTCATAGCTGGAGACTTCAGTAATCCTCTTTCAGTAATGATAGTTCAAGCAGCAAAAATTCGTAAGGATATGGTTCACCTAAGCAACACTATCAATCAACATGATCTAATTGATATTTATGGAATACCCTACTAACAATAGCAGAATACACATTTTTTCAAGCTCCCATAGAATATTCACCAAGAGAGACCAGAATCTGAGCTAAAAAAATTTTTGAAATTTTTTATTAGAATAAGATATCTACAAAGTATGCTTACAAAAAACAATGAAATTAAACTACAAATCAATGACAGAAATATAGTTGTGAAATACCCAAATTAAACAGCATACTTATAAATAACAAACAGGACAAGGGGTAATCTCAAGGTAAATTTAAATAATATTTTGAGCCAAATGAAAATAACCGTGAAATTTATCAAAATTTGTAGGCTGTTGCAAAAACATTGGCTTAGTAATTAAATGTATTAAATACATATATCAAGAAAAAAGAAAAATATCTAAAATCAGAATTCTAAATGTTCATCTTCAGAAACAAAAGAAAGAAGAGCAATTAAAGCATATAGCAAACAGATAAAAAGACATAACAAATATTAGAACAGAAATCAATAAATTAGCAAACAGGAAATCAGTAGAGAAATACATCAAAACCAAATGTTGGCTCATTGAAAAGACTAAATAAAATTGATAAATCTTTAGTCAGGCTAACTAAGAAAAAAAGAAAGAAAAATCAACCATCAGTATCACAAATTTAAAAGGGGCATTATTACTGATTCTGTGAATGTCAAAAGGCTAATAAAAGAATACGATGAAGAATGCTATGCCCACAAATTTGACAATTAGATGAAACAATCCAATTCCTTGAAAGACAGAACCTACTAAACTCATTGAAAGACCAATAAATGTCTCAATAGGTATATATCTATTTATTTTAATGAATCAATTAATAATAGCCTTCCAAAAAAGAAATCACCAGGCCCAAATGGTTTCACTGGAGATTTCTATTAAACTTTAAGATAAAAGAGGTACTATTTCTCCACAATGTCGTTCAGAAAATAGAAGCAAAGGCAACACTTTCTAACTCATTTGTTGAGGTAGTTTACAAGGAACAAGAATTTATTTCCCACAGTTCTGGAGACTGGGAAGTCCAAGATCAAGATGTCAGCATTAGGTGTCTGGGGAGGGCCTTCTTGCTGCATCTTCACATGGCAGAAAGTAGAAAGGAAAGTGGGGCCAAATACCGGGTGTCTTCTTTTTAAAGCCTTAATCCCACTTATGAGGAAGAGGCCCTCATGTTTTAATAGTGTCTTAAAGGCCCCACCTCTTAATGCTTTTATATTGTCAACATGTGAATTTTGGAGGGGACACATCCAAACCATAGCAGCAGTCAAAACACACAGCAAAATACAACACTGCCATATGATGCAACACTAATTGCACACTTAGAAATTTGCACAAGTGATTTGAAAAAGTATGATCACACAAAAATTTGTAAATGTGTGTTTATAATAGCTTTATTTATAATTGGCAGAAACTCAAAGCAACCAAGATGTCCTTCAATTGGTGAACTGAAAAACAAAACTGTTGTAAATTCATATAATAGAATATTATTCAGCAATAAAATGAGATGACGTGTGAAGCTACAAAAAGATAAGGTTCAATTTTTTTTTTTTTTTTTTTTGAGACAGAGTCTCACTCTGTCGCCCAGGCTGAAGTGCAGTGGCACGATGTCGGCTCACTGCAAGCTCTGCCTCTTGGGTTCATGCCATTCTCCTGCCTCAGTCTCCTGAGTAGCTGGGACTACAAGCACCCACCACCACACCCAGCTAATTTTTTTTGTATTTTTAGTAGAAACAGGGTTTCACCGTGTTAGCGAGGATGGTCTTGGTCTCCTGACCTCGTGATCCTCCCACCTCGGCCCCCAAAAGTGCTGGGATTACAGGCGTGAGCCATCGTGCCCGACCCATAAGGGTCAATCTTTAATATGTATTGATAAGTGAAAAAAGCCACTTTGAAATAGCTACATACTATATGTTTCCATTTATGTGATCTTTTGAAAGACATAAAACTTTGGATGCAGTAAAATGCTCAATGGTTGCCAGGCATTTGGGAGCTGGAATAAAGATTTAGTGGGGGAATCATGGTGAATTTTGTTTTAGGGCAAGGAAGCTATTCTGTATAATGCTGTAATTGTGAATATATAATCTTATGCATTTGTAAAAATCCATATAATTTTCTAGTACGAAGTGTGAACCTTGATGTACACAAATTAAATATATATATATATATATATATATATATATATTTAGAGAATCAGGGAGAATGTACTAAAATAACCTAACTCTACTATCCAATTATGAAGCAACCTCACTGAATGAGGTATATACAGGTAGGCAGGAAGTTGCTGACCTCAGTAACTTTGGAAATGAGAGGAGTTTATAAAACTAAAGTCAAAATGCACTGCACATAAACCTTGTAATCTAGTTAATAAAGTTGTTTTCTACACATGGATGGGTTATAACATTCCTGTATTAGTATACGATGTACCGGAATATAACACATAAGTAAATAGAGGAATGAAGTCAGAGCCAAGCTTCTCATTATTGCAATGCATGTTTACAGATAAGCAAGAGGAGAAGCCTAGACTAATCCAAGTTGTTCATGAAGAAAGTCAAACTCTAAAACATTTAAAGAGGTTTATTCTGCGCCAAATATGAGTGACCATGGCTTGAGGCATAATATCAAGAGGTCCTGAGAACATTTACCCGAGGTGGTTGGGTACAGCTTGGTTCTACACATTTTGGGGAGGAGACATAAGACATCAGTCAATACATGTGAGGTATACATTGGCTCGATATAAAAAGGCTGGACATTTCAAAGTGGGGGTTTTCAGGTCATAGGTGAAGTCAAAGATTTCTTGATTGGCAGTTGGTTGAAGGAGTTCAGCTTAAGATAAGGAGGGATGTGGAAGCCAAGGTTCTCGCTGTGTAGATGGAGCCTTCAGGTAACAGGCTTCAGATATAATAGATGGTAAATGTATTTTGTCAGGTTTTAAAAGATGTTAGACTTTTAGTTAAATCTCTCCTGTATCGGGAAAAAACCTGGAAAGGTAAGGATATTCTTTACACACTGTAAATTTTCTCCACAGAAGAGAGCTTTGCAGCACCGTTTCACAATAATGTTAATGTTAATGCTAGTCAGTTGTACTGAACTCCAAAAGGAGGAGAGTATAATGAGACATGCCAAACTTCTTTCCTCCTTCTGTCATGACCTGAACTCATTTCTCAGGTTTCTTTGGGTACTCTTGGCTAGAAGGGGGGTCCATTCAGTTGGTTGGGAGGCTTAGAATTTTGTTTTTGGTTTACAAAGTGGTAATAGGTTAAAGTTACAAAGATCAGTATGAACTCATGTTTAACTTGTGGGGGCTATAGGCTGTTGGCCAAGTGTAACTAAACAGCATCTGGGCACAATTGTGAGCCAGTCTCAGGCTGCCAGGATGCTAAAGAATGCTGGATAGAAAACTGCATCCTTGAACACCTTGAATTTCTCCCCCTCAGATGTTTTATGAATCCATTCCCTTTGCCTAGAATGCTTCTCTCTACTCATGGGTTGCAAATGTAATATCCACTGCTAAACTCCAATTTTTGTTCTTTTGTGTTTCTTCCTAAATACTTAACCAAATATACTTTATTTATTTTCTAGATTTCCATACTACTGGCAAAGATCTCACTAATTAGCCCTCATATATTGACTTCTGTTTTCATTTTTCTTCTTTGTAAGTACATAGTTTTAATTCTCCTAACTAAGCAAATCTCATAGAAGGAAGAAAAGTTTGTGTTTATACATCTTTAGTTGTTCGCATGGCTTGTTCTATAACAGACATGAAAAGTTTTTGGAGAAGGTTATTTTAAATGTAACCTCAGTAGCTTAAACTTGTAGCTGTGTGTGAGGGATATTTCTATGAATCCAGGCATCATTACCTAAAAACAGAAATCTATAACCTATGAATTGCATATGTGGACAGCAACTCTGCCTTCCACACTTGCTCCAGTAAATATCATAACAGGGTGTGTTTTTAAAATCTCTGCCTGCTAAAATCTTATAGTGTAGAAGAGTGATCAATAGTTTTCACTGTATGACTTTTATCAAAATCTGTAATTTTGATTTTCTGGATGAGAGATGAATCATATGCCATAAGATGTCACAAATTGTCTTAATGTATAAATTCAGATAGCATCGAGAAAGAGACATTTTACTTGTTGCCCAGTGTCCCCAAAATCCGACAAATTAAGGACATGGCACGTTTACAGATTAAAGTTCTGACAAAACGGAAGGAGCAGTATGGGATGTATTTAGAACACACGTTTATACTTCCATCTATGTTCAAAAAAGAAAAAAGTAGGGCAAAGCCATGGCATTCAGGAACTGGAATGTGGAAATCAGCCTTCAATTAGAACGACTATATGAGACTTTTTTGTTGAAGTACACACAAAAAAGATCATATTTGCATTTGCAGCATGAAATGTTATTGAAACGAAACCAGATGTTACATTCATATTCAAAGCTGTGAAGTTTTCCTAGCGGTGACAGTGCATTAGCCAACAAAGTAAAATAAACAGTATGATAATGTGGGAATGTTCAGCTTGCTGTCAACAAAGGTGAAACATAATCTCAAAGAAAATCACCCAGAATAAGCAAACCAGGGAAGACTGTTATTGGTATTTAACTGAGGAAATCTAGATAGATTGAATATAGGTATGGCTCCAAGGAGAATTTTCCCTAAATTCAATCCAACCAAGATAATCTAAGTCGTGTTTTATTTTGTTTTCTGACACGAATGTTCAGAAACCTTTTTCAGTGGCCTGAGACTTTAACTTAGCCCTTAAGAACAAGTAAAATTAAAAAATGCATTTCATAAGCAGAGTTCAAGACATTAAAATACTTTGTTCATATACTGTACTTTATTGTTTACTAATATGCTATCTGAGTATACCTGGGGCAGGAGTCCAGTGGGGAAGATATGGACTTTGGGGTCAGTCCTTAGTCCAAATCATAGTCTAACATGTGATAGGAAAGTAAAACCAAGTTTCAGAGGTGTTCTTACCCTTAAAATGGAAATAAGAATTACCTTATAGAGGCCGTGCACGGTGGCTCATGCCTGTAATCCCAGCACTTTGGGAGGCCGAGACGGGTGGATCACCTGAGGTCGGGAGTTCGAGACCAGCCTAACCAACATGGCAAAACCCCGCCTCTACTAAAAATAGAAAAATTAGCTGGGCATGGTGGCAGGTGCCTGTAATCCCAGCTACTCAGGAGGCTTAGGCAGGAGAATCGCTTGAACCCAGGAAGCAGAGGTTGCAGTGAGCCGAGATTGCGCCATTGCACTCCAGCCTGAGCAACAAGAGCAAAACTCCATCTCAAAAAAAAAAAAAAAGGACCTCATAGAGTAAAATGAAAGTGTCTGAAAACGATGCCACATATAAAGAATGTCAAGCCAGATGCCTGGCACCCAAATGACAGTAAATGCTGTTTTTTTTAAAAAATTATTGTTTTCAGTAAAAAATTAGAGCCAAAAAAAATTGCAAGAGAAGTAACTTAGAAGGCAAAGAGATGTAAACACAAAACCCTTTCACTGTCCAGCAAGTTTCTGTGAGGGGTCCATGGTACCCTACTGGGAATGTCTCCTCTGAAACAAGGGCCCAAAGCTGTGTTATGGTGTTTTGTAAACTGAGGCCCCATTTTGTGTGTGTTGTATTTGGAAATATTTAGTGGCATTGCGCTACAAGATTAGACATTTATTAAACCAGTACTTTAATATTTAAGTTAAAATAAATCACCCTTATACATAAGGTTGGTACATAAATCTAGGGGAGCTTAGTGAGAAGCAAAGCTGAGGGAATTGTTATGCCGTACACAGAATTCCTCTCTACTCCTGGGGTTTAGCTATAGTGTCAGCCTCATCATGCCTGGCTCTTACTCCTGCCACTGTTAGCTAAAGTTGTTTCTCAGCAAACTCTTCAGTCTTTCATTCAAATATGTATTTATCTGGCATTCCCCTCCCTGCGTTCAAGTGATATGTAAGGGATTTATTTAAAATCTCTATTTTAATGATCCACACCAAGAATATGACAGTTAGAAAACTTCACGTAAATAACAACATGCTGTAACAATATGGAATGTCTAAAATGCCGTATGCATAAAAAATGACAATTTGCTAATAGGTAATATTTATTGGGTACTTACTAAGTGCTAGGCCCTATTCTAAGTGCTATATTTGTATTAAAATATTTTGTTTTTATAACAACCACATAAAGTAGGTATTTCACTTATTTCTATTCTGTAGCTACAGCATAGAGAAGGTAATGTACGTGCCATTAACTGAATTGTGTCACCTGAAAATTTAAATACTGAAGCTCTAAACCTCAATATGACTGTATTTGAAAGTAGGAAATAAGGCCTCTACAGAAGTAATTAAGGTTAAATGAGGTAGGTTAAATGAGGTCATAAGAGTGGGGCCCTGGGGTGCTAATACGATAGTATCAGTGGCCTGATAAGAAGAGGAAGACAGAGATCTTTCTCTGTGTGTACATGCCCCAAGGAACAGGGGAGCACACAGCAGAAGGTGACCGTCTGCAAGCCAGGAAGAGAGGACTCATCAGAAACTGAATTTGCTGGCACCTTGATCCTGGACTTTTCAGTCTTCAGAAGTATGAGAAAATAAATTTATGTTGTTTAAGCAACCCATTCTATGGTATTCCGTTATGGCAGCCCAAGCTGACTAACACAGTAAATGAAACCCAGGGAGTCTGACTCCAGAACCTGATGTCTTAACCACTGTGTGGTGCTCCAGTCATAGCATAACCCTTCAAAACACCATGGTAGAAAGCGTGTAAGTCACAGATATTCCATTTTTTCACCTTTCTTAGATGCCTTTTAACTTAGATAGGATCATATAACTACTTCTGGCAAATTGCCAGTAGGCAGAAATGTGGGACATTACCTCCAGGCTGAAGTACGGAAGAGGCTGGCACATCATCCTTCAGCAACATCTTACCAGTCCCATCAACTGTGAGGGCCACATGTTCCACATGGCGTGGCCACAAGAAGGCAGGTCTCTGCATCAGGGTCTTGAGTGGCTATGGTGGAGCTTAGACGTGTTCCTTCATATATACAGAGCATGTTAGACAGGGAACACAAAGGAGAGATAAAATGTTGAAAACTTTTTACCTCAGCATATCCTACCTTATCCTAAATAAGACACAGTACACTCTCAAAATTGATAAATTTTTAAAATAAAACAGCATGAGTTTTGTTTTATCTTTCTGTCTACCTATCAGCCAAGTGTATATCTACAAAATAGAATATACATTGCAAATATTCACAGAATATTATCTGATCATAATAAAATAAAATAAATACATAAATTCAAAAGAAGAATTTCATTGGCTCAAAAAAAAAAACTATTGCAAAACTAAAAACCAAAACTAACAAATTTAATCTCAATCACATTGCCTGTTAAAGTAAAGACAAATTGAATACAGGACTCTAGCCTATAGTATAAATAATCTATTCTGGATCTGTTTTCCAGATCTCTAATATTTTCTCACATATTTTCTATCCGTATTGTAAAAATTTTCATACATTTATATATTAAAATACTAATTTGATCTGACACATATTTACTTTCAATCTGTTATTTCATCCTTTTATGGATTTAAAAATTGTATATTTTGATATAAAATTTGATATATATTTTGTAAATTTTAGGAACTGTAATTTTTGCTTTTTGAACCAATTCAGTACTTACTTTTCTTTACAGAATATTATTGCATTTTGTGAATATAATACTCTTTGTAAATTTTCTGATGATACTAATTAGAAATATTTAAAATTCCTTTTGTCCTTATGGGAATTTCTTGTATCCTCCACTGTCAGGTGATTGTTCATTTTGGTCCTTCTCAGTTTTTTTTTTTTTTTTTTTTTTTGAGATGGAGTGGAGTCTCACTCTGTTGCCCAGTCTGGAATGCAGTAGCCAGATCTTGGCTCACTGCAAACTCCGCCTCCCAGGCTCACACCATTCTCCTGCCTCAGCCTCCCGAGTAGCTGGGACTACAGGTGCCCGCCACCATGCCTGGCAAATTTTTTGTATTTTTAGTAGAGATGGGGTTTCACCGTGTTAGCCAGGATGGTCTTGATTTCCTGACCTCGTGATCCACCAGCCTCGGCCTCCCAAAGTGCTGGGATTACAGGCTTGAGCCACTGCACCTGGCTGGTCCTTCTCTTTTATTAATGTTTTTCTTAAATATCAATTGATCCTTGACGAGTTTCTTCATTAATCACATATCATTTAATTTCTATCATCTAGAAATTTTTTGTTTTCCTTTGTGGTGTTCCGCAGATATCTTTTTCTGTTTTTGACACAGTTGTGTGTGTGGTTTTTTTTTTTCACATTAACTATTTTGTGATCCAGTGTGATTCTAGGAGAGAACATTAAACTTGTACGTTCACTTGACAATGCTGATCTAGAGTTCTGCTTTCAACTCCTTTAGGGTAAAATGAATCCTGCTTTGTATCATAGATTTATCCTCAATTGATTGGTGATTCCAGCCCTTTGGTCCAGCACTCAAGCCTGGATCACTCAGTCATCATCTTTATCCACTAACTGCTGGACTCTAATGAAAAGAAAGCTCTTACCTGCCCAACTTATTGCCTCCAAGTGTACCAAGATACGTTTCTCTCTGACATTGCCTGTACATTTGCCTGTAGAACTGAATAAATGCCTAAAAAATTAGTGCTAAATGGCAGCAACTAGAGTTTACTTTGAAGCTGTTTTATTATCCTTCATTGTGTATAATTCACTGAGAAAAATGACACCTGGATGGTGCCCTTTTCTTGTTTTATAAATATTCATTTCTTCCTGGTGATATAAAAAAGGTTGAAATGAAAGTTTCGGGTTTTCCTGGGGAAAAGAAAGAATGACAATTTTCGATTACTGTGCTGCTTATCACAAAAGTAGTTTCATTTGCCTGATAGCTTCATTGACTGGTGTCAAGATAATGCCAAGTAGAGTGTTTTGCTAGCTTAATGCCACCCACAGAGATAGACAAAATATTACTTTTCACATGCATTATGAAAATAGTAGCTATTAATTGTGCTGCTCAACTGTAAGCTGATCAAACTGCAGAAAACAAGAAATGTGGCATTTACGATTTAGGAAGGCACTTTTCTCAAATTTCCAGTCATTAATTCACAGTTTAAATCTTGGACCTAAGAATATTTACCAAATTCCTCTAAGTTTCCTGATCTACTGAATATTTTCTTATTGTTATGTCAATCAAGTAAAATTCTAAGGAGGTTTGAGACTGAGATTTATTATGGCATTATAACTCAATGTTCTGTTTTTCTACTGCAGTTTAATGTTTTAAAAGGTTAAATAAGAATTGGTATTTAATGTTAACAATAACCATACCTGTTCATAGACCATTTTCATCAACACTTAAGTATTGGTGCTTATGCCATATCAGGCACTGTTTTAGGCACCACGGAGTATAAAAATGGTAATTTTAGAATTGTGTGCTTAAGTTTTAAATCAAGACTGGAATTTAAGATACAAAAAGTATAATGGCAAAATTTTCCAGAAAAGTAGACTGGGACTAGATTATGAAGACCTTGAATGCAAGGTTGAGGAATATAGATGTAGAAGGAGCCACTGCAGAAATTCCCCAGGAGAGTGGCAGAGCATGTCTATTCTTTAGAAATGTCATTGTGGTCACAATGCAAATGATTGCTTATGTATGAGAGGGGCCTAGTGCAAGAGGCGCAGAAGTATAGAATGTGCAGGGTTGCATCGAAAGTATAGAGTGTGTAGTGACTGTGAGGATGAAGAGCAGAAATTACAGTCACTAGCATAGAGGCAGTGCAGGGTTCTCTTACATGACAATAATGGCATCATTATTATTATTAATTACCAATAATAGCTGTCTCCTATAGCTGGAACAGGACCTCTTGGGTCATTTAGATGGTCCTGATAGCATGATCATAAATGATCTGGGAGATGACTTAAGCAGTATGTGGTCCAACCCAAGGTCCTGCATTCTTTATCTTCTTGAAGCTATAATTTGTAAGAGTGACTTGAGGGAGAGTGGGAGAGCGACAAAGTTGGCCCCTAGATGTCATGAAAGCCATGTGTTAGATGCCACCTCTCCAAGCCTTTCAAATATCTTGATCTTTCATCTTCATACCACACTTCTTTCCAAGGTCAGGAGGGGTCAGTGTGGTAACTCACCATGTGACGCAGACTGAGCCTGAGATCTAGAAAGTGACTGGCCATTGATCATCTAACATATCATTGGAGGTGGATGAATCCAACAAGCAAGGTAGTTTTTGCAACTGATTATTGGCCTGAAACAGGAAGAGATGAATAAATTTTTATTTAAAATCATGGCAGTTTATTTGACCTGTCTCTTGAGAAGTCATTTACATTGGAATTCAACCATCAAACTTCTCAGCTGACACCCTTCAATAATTGTTGGGAACAGGCCCCCCAAAATCTGTCCATAAACTGGTCCCAAAACTGGCCATAAACAAAATCTCTGCAGCACTGTAACATGTTCATAATGGCCCTAAAGCCCAAGCTGGAAGGTTGTGGGTTTACGGGAATGAGAGCAAGGAACATCTGGCCAGCTCAGGGCAGAAAACCGCTTAAGGCATTCTTAAGCGACAAACAATAACATGAACGATCTGTGCCTTAAGGACGTGCTCCTGCTGCAGTTAACTAGCCCAACCTATTCCTTTAATTCGGCCCATCCCTTCGTTTCCCATAAGGAATACCTTTTAGTTAATCAAATATCTATAGAAACAATGCTAATGACTGGCTTGCTGTTAATAAATATATGGGTAAATCTCTGTTCAGGGCTCTCAGCTCTGAAGGCTGTGAAACCCCTGATTTCCCACTTCACACCTCTATATTTCTGTGTGTGTGTCTTTAATTCCTCTAGCGCCACTGAGTTAGGGTCTCCCCGACCAAGCTGGTCTCAGCAAATAATAAGAGCTAGTGTGACATATGACAGATGAAAAGAGATTAATATAGTGGTTATCTTAATAAGAAATCCTACAAATAATTAGCGTGGTAGTAAAAGCATATATTTGTAGATCTCAATTTAAATTCTGGGTCTGCTATTGTAAGTCAGATAAACTTGGCAAGTTACTTTACCTTTCTAACCTCAGTTTCTTTACTTTCTGTCAGTAAGATATGAATGCCAACATGACAGATTTGTTTTTATATTAAAATGAAACACTATACACTTAAGGCAGGTTCTGGGAAATAATAATGGCTCAAAATTTTAGTCATTATTATATAGAAAAATGAATTGCAAAGTCATTTTATGGGACTCTATTTTCAACTTTTATGTGGAACTGCATTGTATGAAACAGCAAAGTACAACTTAGTATCTATTTTGTAAACTCAGCTGTATGGCATTTTTTTTCTTATTATTAAATAAAGTATTAAGGACAAATCTTAACCCATATAGTCTCTAATATATTAACATTAATATAATAAATAGTCCCTTTTATCATATGTGATTTTTATTGACGTTTTAGAAAATAAAGTATTTGTAAATAAATAAAGTAAAATTCCAACAAAAAGTTTACAGAATCCGAGAAGCATTCCTGAGGAATTCCAATCTTTTCTAGAACACAATTTTTAAAAAATCAAACAAGAATGTAATATAACCCCTGCACTTCTCATTTTGTAAATGAGAAACACCCCGAGAAAGATTAAATGACTTGCTCACATGAACAGAACACATCAGATCAGTGGCAAAGCCGCAGCTTGTTCTCCTTTGCTCTTGGGAACAGACAGAGCTAGGGAACAGAATACTCTTTTATTTTTATTTTATTTTTTTTATTTTTTTAACGTAGGGTCTGGCTGGTTTACCCAGGCTGGAGTGCAGTAGTGTGATCTCAGCTCACTGCAATCTCCAACTCCTGGGCTCAAGCGATCCTCCCACCTTAGCCTCCTGAGTAGTCGGGACTACAGGCACACACCTCCATGCCCAGCTTACTTTTGTATTTTTTGTAGAGATGGTTTCACCGTGTTGCCTAGGCTGGTCTGGAACTCCTGGGCTCAGGCGATCTGCCCTCCTCGGCCTCCCAAAGTGCTGGGATTACAGGCGTGAGCCACTGCACCTAGCCATGAACCGTATACTCTTCTGATAACTAAGACACACTCCAGGCAGAACCTGCTCTGTGTGTTCAGCTTTGCTATCAAGACCACTCAGTTGTCTTCATTTCATCTTTCTTAGCAAAGCTATGGAAACAATCATGAATGATGTGAGCAAAACTCATAAATACAGATGTTCTTGAAGGGCAGGGTTTTCAACAGCTTTGTTCACTATTCAATGTCCAATGCCTAAAACAGCCCTGCTCATTACTATTTTCTTATATCTATGGAATACATTCCTGTTTTCTGTACCATGATTGGGACTATGGGTGGGCATGACTTCTATAATAATAATAATAATAATAAAGATAATGATATTAATAAAGATTTACTGTATTACAGGCAATATCCTAAGCATTTTATATATAATAAAATATTTCATCATCTCAGTAGATTTACCCGGTAGGTGTTTTCATCTGCATTTTACAGATAAGAAATTTAAGGAATGCACAGTTGAAATCATTTTTCAAAGTTGCAAAGCGAATGAATGGCAGAGCCAGTATTCAAACTAGATGCTAGAGTTTGCACTCCAAACCACTCGAAAATGACTATAAGATAAAGTATGCAGATCATTTTATTTCTGTGAGTTTATTGTTGTTTCAGAGTGAGATTAGGTTTGAAATTATATATGGATACCACATCCAGAGGGGAGAGGTGCCAGTCCTTGTAGGAAATTTAGCAAAGAAGTCAGAACTGGTACCGGATCTGCGCCAGGGATGACCTAAAGTGTCTGATTATCTGCCCGTGGTGGTTTTAACTGTATTACCATAAATTATTTGGTACTTTTCCCTTCAAGAGGTGGAGCCTTACTGTCCTCAGTGTGAGTGTGGGCTGGACTTGGTGATTCACTTCTAGTGAATAGAATGCAGCACTTCTGCTGTCGTCACCTGTGAGCGTAACTTTAGAGAATGACATGGCTTATGTCTTGGATACCATCTCTGTCCTGATCACTTGGCCTGAGGAAAGCAAGCTGCCATTTTGTGAACGGCACTATGGATAGGCCTACATGGCAAGAAACTGAGGTATTCAACCATAGCCAGTGAGGAGCTCAAGCCTGCCTATGACCACTTGAGTGAGCTTGAAACTCATCCTCCAGTTCTGAATAATTGCAAGCCTGGCCAAGAGTTGACTATGACCTTGTGAGAGACCTTAAGCCAGAACCATCCATCTAGGCTACTCTTGGACTCCTCCTGCCCCAGAGGAAGAAAGAGATAATAAATGTCTTAGGATGCTATGTTTTGGAGAAATTGCTGCACATCTGTAGATAAGTAATATACTGACCTCAGTTATCCAGAGAATGAACTATATAACAAGAGTTGACATAAGGCAATATTCTTTCTGATTTTTAAGCTTTAATCTCCTTGATATATTTATTTAGTTTATATCATAAAGTGTGAACATTCACTTCTTAGAAGATGCATTTATCAAACTGAGTCATGTAAATACCCCCTGTGGGGGTCTTTACCCATGCCCCATACAGAGCCTGAGATGGGCACCTAAGAAGCACTTTTCCACCCCATTTGCTTTATTTACTGAAATCTCAGAGGCCCAAACCATGTCCATCTTAGTGATTATTTTTCCATTGTGCCATTAATAAAAGAAAAAGTACTTGCTGGTCTGGCAGAAGGCTAATTGATAGAGGGAAAAGAAATAAACAAATTAGAGCTGGTAATTCTATTGTGATAAAATGCCTTAATGCTAAAATTACATTGTAAAGCTGGATCATATAATTTCTGGGGGAGGCTTTTTAACCTACATTGCACATTAAAATGCATTTGTATGTGCATTTTAATTTGATGAACGGTGACACCTTCCCATTCAAAATGCCAAGTAGTAGTTGACAAAGAGTTCAAGAGGGACTGAAACAAACAAAAGGAAAATGTCTGTGTAAACATTTTGATCCCCTGTCAGATCATGCTAAGGTCATACTCGGAAAATTTTATTAAAGTACAGAAATTAGTATCTCATGCAAAACCAGATGCCAGGCCTTATGCATTCTGTATATATAGTCGTAGTCATTTTTTTTTAAATTTTAAGAAAAACGGCATTCCAAAGCATACTGGAAAATTTAGATCCTAGCTGATGGTAGCAGAAAAAAAGTATTTTCTTTTCTATGTTCCATTTGCCTGTGATGATAGTGACTTGAACTAGAGTGATAGTTATGAAGGCTGTGAAAAGTAAAAAGTCATTGGGACCAGGATATTTTTGTAAATAGAGTTGGCAGGCTTATGGGTCAGAGGTGGAGTGTGAGACAGATAGAGTGATAAACCAAGATCAAAATCAAGATTTGTCCTGAGGAATGGAACAATCAGTACTATTATTAACTGTAATTGAGAACACTAGCAGGTTAACAGATAGGTGGTAGTGAAAGGCAGTGATTCAGGAGTTTCATTAAGCTAGCACTGCTTATTTATACCTAAGTCTAGATGTCAGCTAGGCAATTGTATTTAGGGGTCTATATTTTAAGAAAAAAGTTGGAATTGAAGACATAAATTTGGGTATTATTAGATTATAGATGTGATAGTCAGCCTCCAGAATGGCCTCAAATGTTTCCTGCTTACTTGTATTCACAGCCTTATTTGGTCTCCTCATTCATTTTACCAGGTTGGTACATGCGACTAATAGAAAATGGCAAGAGAGATGCCATGCCACTTCCAAAATTAGGTTATTGTATCATCAGGGTTCTCAAGAGAAACAGAGCCCAAAATATTTATGCTTGTATGTGTGAGCGCATGCACATATGTGTGCACACACGTGTGAGCACACACAAAGAGAGAGATGTTTATTTTAAGGAACTGGCTCATGCAGTTATGGAGGCTGGAAAGTCCAAGATCTGCAGCATAGATCATTAGTATGGAGACCCAGAAAGAACCATGTCCAAAAGCCATTTTTTAGTAAAATTTGTTCTTGTTCAGGGCCGGTCAGTCTTTTTATTCTCTTCAAGCCTTTAACTTATTGAATTAGATCAACTCATATTATAGAGGGCAGTTTTCTTTACTCAAAGTTCACAGATTGAAATGTTAATCTTATCCAAAAACACTCTTACAGAAAAATCCAGAAAAACAAGTGGCCAAATATCTGGACATTGTGGTCCAGCTAAGCTGACATATAAAACTATCCATGTCAATTTTAGAAGACATATGGCTTCATTCTTGCTCTCTCTTGGAACACTTATTTTGGGAGAAGACTGCTGGCATGTCATGGGGATACTCAAGCTCCCCTGTGGAGAAGTGCCTGTGGTAAGGAATAGTTTTCTGCCACTTAACTGAGTCATCTTGGAAGCAAGTCCTTCATACCAGTCCAGTCTTCAGGTGACCTCAGCTGTAGTCAAGAGTTTGACCGTAACCACATGAGAGAGCCAGAATAAATCCACTCAGCTAATCTGCTCCTGGATTCCTAACCCTCAGAGAAGGTGTAATACATCACGTTTATTATGTTTAAGCTGCTAAATTTTGGGCAATTTGTTATACAGCAACAGAAAACTAAGGCAATGTATTTAAAGCCATTGGTCTGGGGTGACCTTCTAGAGAGTGGATGCACATAGAGAAGCATGGTGTCAGAAAACTTACACCCATGGCCTGCCTGTGTTTAAGTATGAGGAGCCAGGGGAGGAGAAGATACAGCTATATGACTTTGGCAAATTACTGGCATTTAGTTTCCCAATCCATCAACTAGAGATAAGAACAGCCTACACTGATCTGGGAGAAAATTAACGAAGTAGCATCAGTAATGTATATAATATAGTGTCTGCAACATAATAGAGTCTCAATTGTTGTTATTTTTCCTCTTCCTTATTCCCTACTTGTGGTAGTTTTAGGTTTTCATTCTCTTTGACAAGACAGAATCTCAGATGCTTGCATAAGCATTGTGAAGTGTAAAAAATTCTTAGAATTATTTTAAAACTAGGTTTACCATACTTTTAAAGATATCTTCCTTTCTCTTCAAATTAGTGCATTACAAAATCAGTTTTCTAAGGTTGGTAAAATCATTTTATCAAAATATGCACCTATCCCTTTAGAATTACAGTAAGTCTGCATTTAACATCATTCATAGATTCTTGGAAAATGCAGGTTTAAGCAAAATGATTATAACAGATTCTCTAATATCGTTTCATTCAATATTGTTTTTTGTTATAATTCTGATGAGAAATAAATTGGTTCCATTATACATCATTTAGCTAAAGATGCAGGATCCAAGGATGTATGAACAATGCTAAGTGGGGACTTACTGTATATGCAAGAAACATTTGTGAGGAATGGGCTTATTAGGGACTTACAGAATAATTTAAGTTTTACTTTTAGCGTTATTCGTGTTTTTCAAAAATTATTTTATATATCTGAATGTTGTGAAATTGTTTTCAATAGTGCGTTTTTTTCTGGATATAATATCCTGGGGATATTTTTAAATAATGAGAAGTTAAAAGGTATCTATTCAAAGCCAATGAGTATAAAATGTATTTTCCTCAGAAATTATTTAATGTCACATTTAGAAATACTATGTAGCTGAAGTTTGAGATTAATAGTCGAGCATTTGACAATATTCTTCCTTACTTGGCAGTCAAATGCTTTGAAAAAGACTTAACACTCTCTCATTTCATAGCATACTGGAAAAATTAGGCTATTATTGATGGATGTAGAACACGGGAGAAGTTATTTATTTTGTTAGACTCCCTTAGAATTTTGGAATGAAGATTCTATAAAACTGTTTATTACATTGTTGTGAAAAAAACATACTGACCAGATCAAAAATTCCATTTTAGACTATGCTGCTTGCATTTCCAAAATTGTGGGTTCAGAATACATTTTTAAATATCTTTTTATGTAAGCCTGCATAGAAAAGGAAATGTAACTTTGTCTGGGTAATATCCTGTAGTAGTCTGTTCTCACACTGCTATAAAGATACTGCCTGAGACTGGGTAATTTATAAAGAAAAAAGGTTTAGTTGACTCACTGCTCTGCAGGGCTGGGGAGGCCTCAGGAAACTTACAATCATGATGGAAAGCAAAGGGGAAGCAAGGACCTTCTTTACATGGAGGCAGGAGAGAGAAGAGCATGTGAAGGAGGAACTGTCAAACACTTACAAAACCGTCAGATCTCGTGAGAACTCATGCACTATCATGAGAACAGCATGGGGGAAATTGCCCCCAGGATCCAATCACCTCCCACCAGGTCCCTCTCTCAACACTTGGATATTATGGCCATTACAGTTCTAGATGAGATTTGAGTGGGGACACAGAGCCAAACCATATCACATCCCAAGTCTTAAATGAGAACATGTCTACTATATGGGCACAGTGCATTTGCATATCTAAAATTTTTGTCTGTTGCCTTTTTAATTAATTCTGTTTGACTCTTTACTGGTACTTAGAGCATGTGGAAAATCTATTACAATCATTCACTTTTTGCTTCCTAAAAAATAAGTTTAATTGCCAGAAATAAATGTTTAATGAGAGAAGATCATGGGGATTTATTCAGTGGTTACTGTGTCCTAGGTCTGGGAACCTGAACACACACTCAGAGATGAAGATTTATGTTCAATGAGTTTATAAATATTTTCCGCAAAATTACCTGTAAGAGGCAGAGAAGGAAGATTGGGCAGAGAATAGGTTAACCTGAAGGAATGTAGCAGCGGGATTCTAGAGCTGGATTAGACCTTCATATTTGTTCCAGTACCCCTGAATTGAGTAGTCACTGGATACAGACTGCTCCCAAAGAGAGTAATGTAAGCCTGTAAGTCAGTGGAGTATTGGAACCTGTTTATACTGGCTCAAGAGAGCCAATTATTAAATACCCAGTATTTCGCTACCTGGTTGTTAAATTATTGATACCTTAAACTAGGCCATGGTAGAAACATTTACATAAGGGCTTACTTTTGAACAGCCAGTGTAATCACCAAAATATTAGAAGTATCCTTGGTCGAGGTGGTTTCCTTCAGCAAAAGTTAATGTCTGGAGAGGTAGTCAGCTGTGAGCCATTAGTAGGCAGCAGTCCCAGAAGCTAGAGGAATGAGTATCTCAGTCATGAAAGGAGAGATTAGGGCAGTGAAATATGACATACACTATCGTCCACAACATGGGTCACTTGAGTTTGTGTAGTAAGTGCATTCGTCTAAGAAAAGTTCTTCCAGAATTCCAGTTGATCACCTTTCCTTGGGTAAATTAGAAAATGAAAATTTTTTAGCAGGCTTTGCTGTACTTGTTCAGTTACCATAAACATTGAGTAAAGAATTACCAAAAGACTCCTAAATGGATCATCTGGGCACTGAATTTATTCATTCTTACTCCTGTTAGCCCTAGTACCCAGTGATGATCTGGGTGTATTACCCCAGGCCGAATGTTGACTTCTCTCTTTCTCCCTGGTCTCTTAGTGCAAAGAACTTGAAGTGAGCAAGAAAAAGCCTGAAAATAAAATTAAAGAGGATTCTAACTCTAGGACCCGGCAGAAGTGTTACTCCTCTGGGAACAAGAATCTCTCAATCCCCAGATTCTAAGGTCGTAGAGAATGGAAGCACAAATTTCCTACCTAAGTTATTGGGATTAACCGTAATTACAAGCTGCTACTACTTCTACCTCCGTAGTTTCTGGATTTATTTATTCCACCTACTAGAAATTTTACATGCCACCATTTCCAAGCTGATATCTCAGCTGTGTCTTTAAGAGGCTAGTCCCTTGCTGCATTAGGGCAGCAGTTTTGGGGTGGCATCATATGTAATATGACACCCATGATCATATGTCCACCAACACATCTCCTTTGGTAAAAGTTGATCCCTTGGTCTGCTCTGTTGTTATGCAAAATTCATTGTTGATGCAGATACATCAAATATTCTGAATATTCTTAGAAGTGTGCTATCTGAGGCCCTGTGGGCAGGAAAGGAAAATTCATATGCAGAATATATGTTAATTCCAGTCAAGATGAACAGCTACTTTCTAAGGTAGAAGAGATCTAATGTACTAAGATTGCCATTTCTGGTGAATAACATCTTCTTGGAGTGTAGAGTGTTAGTTTGTGTTGTGGCAAGTTAGACATTCATCAGAAGCAGTAGCTAGATCAGTCTTAGTGAATGGAAACACATGCTTTAGGGACCATGCTCAGCTTCCATCTCTGACACTATGGCTACTGCATTTCTGAGTTCGTCATATTAGAAATGGGTGGAAGAACACAAGGGCTGACTGAAGCCAAATAATTAGTTACTTGGACTACTGTGTATTTCAGTATTCATTCTATTGTTCATGCTTTGTAATATACATTACAAAGTCTTCAAACTTTGTGACTACTTCTAATATGATCTGGCTCTGTGTCCCCACCCAAATCTCATGTTGAATTGTAATCCCCAATGCTGAGGGAGGGACCTGGTGGGAGGTGAATGGCTCATGGGGGCAGATTTCCCCCTTGCTGTTCTCATGCTAGTGAGTGAGTTCTCAAGAGATCTGATTATTTACAAGTGTGTAGCATGTCCCCTTCCCTCTCTCTCTCTCCTGCTGCCACGTGAAGATGTGCCTCCTTCCCCTTCACCTTCCTCCATGATTGTGTTTCCTGAGGCCTCCCCAGCCATGCCTCCTGTACAGCCTGTGGAACTATGGATCAATTAAACTTCTTTTCTTCATAAATTACCCAGTTTCAGGTAGTTCTTTATAGCAGTGTAAGAACAGATTAATACAAATTCCATTCATGCATCCATATGTATCTTTTCCAGATCCGTTTATCATTAATCTTTTAACTGTTCTCCTTCTAGGCCCGCAGAAAGCCAGCCAATCATTTGCCATTGCTTATTTGTCCATTTGCATTCTTATCTTGCACTGCTTCTCCCTTCACACAACGTGGATAGCCATATATCTGAAGTTTGGCCTTTTCCTCCTCTATCAGATAGTCAAAAGGAATCCCCCCATAGGCATGAATTGAGGGAAAGGTACCAACACAACATTAGTAAATGATGAGAAGGTCTGGGCTATCTGCTCATGCAGCTATGCCACCGTATTTATGTTATACCTGGACTTACCGCTTCTATATTACAATGAATTGTTGAAGTGACCCAACCTATGACTTCATGAGTTTGACAGACTGTAGCTATGGCCAAATGATCAAATGATGTCCATAGCCAGACCCTCTATCACAATGCAACAGCAAATTAGTAGCACTTTGTCAAATGGTGTCTAGTTTCCCACTGCAAGGCAGAAACTTCCATGGAAGTCTAACTATGATTTTCCTATTGAGGCATTTAGTAAATGTGTCCCTCCAGAATATTTTTGGACATAAGATGGAAAAGTTAATATATAACTTAGGACAAGACTGTAAGGTACACTATTTTCATCCCACATTGATATGAATTATTTCTTATTCTCCATTCTCAAAAGATTGGAAATTTAATGCATTTCCTCAATCAAGGGCTACATACCGTGTCCCTGTGATTGTGTTAATCAGTTCTAGCAAAGACATCATGTTTGGCAAAGTAGTTGTAATTGGAGCTACTATTTAGTTATGTTTAGAGTAGTGCATCATTAACTGGAACAATCGATCTGATTTTTGTTAGTGCCAGACAGTGAATTGAATGGAACTATCATGGAGACTACCATTTGTATCACATTTAAATCACTAAAGTTGGAACCAATTTCTACCTTTTAAGTATACAATATTGTTTCTTAAAACTTATCATTTTGATACAATTTAAAATTAACAGAAGAGTTGTGTAAATCATAAAAATTTCCTATTACAAATAACCTATTTTACATGACTTTATTAATATCCTGTATAGCCATTAATCAAACTAAGAAATTAACATTGGTACAACATTATTATCTAAACTGTAGACTTTATTTAGATTTCACCAGAATGTTTAAATAGTGACCCTGTTGTTTGTTTCAGGACTCAATCCAGCATTCCACATTGCATTTAGGTATTATGTCAGCTTAGCTACAAAAATAAAGAAATAATCAAATAAACAAATAAGCAAAAACTGTTGTTAAAAAGAACAACTCTGGGAGGTGGAGCAAGATGACAGAATAGAAAGCTCTAGTCATCATTCCCCCTAGCAAGGACACCAAGTTATCAACTATCTACACAGCAAAAACATCTTCATGAGAACAAAAAATCAGGTAAACATTCTTAGTATCTGGTTTTAACTTCATATCACTGAAAGAGGCACTAAAGAGATAGGAAAAACAGTCCTGAATTTCCAACCACCACTCCTACCCCACCCCCCACCAGCTGTGCAGCAAGGTGCAGAAAGCATCTCTGGACAGTGGGACCAGGGAGAACACAGCAATTGTGAGACATTGAACTCAGTGCTGTCCTGTTAGAGCAGAAGGGAAAACTGGACCAAATTCAGCTGATGCCCACCCACAGAGGGAGCATTTAAACCAGCCCTAGCCAGAGGGGAATCTTCCATACCAGCAATCCAAACTTGAGTGCCTGCAAACCTCGCCACCGAGAGCCAAAGTGCTCTTGTCTCTAAGTAAATTTGAAAGGCAGTCTAGGGTATAAGGACTGCAAATCTTAGGCATGTCCTAGGGCTGAACTAGGTGCAGAGACAGTGGACTGATGGGGCATGCAGCATACTGAGACACCAGCTGGGGAAACCAAGGGGGTGCTGGCATCACCGCCCCCCTCCCCCAGTAACCCCAGGATGTGCAGCTGATGGCTCCAAAAGAGAACTCTTCCTTCTGCTTGAAGAGGGAGGAGCGGGGAGAACTTTGTCTTGCATCTTGGATACCCTCTGAGTCACATAAGGATAGGGCACTGGTCAGAGCTATGAAGCCCCTGTTTCAGGCCCTAGCTCCCAGATCACATTTCTATGCACACCCTGGGACAGAAAGGAATCTGCTTGCCTTGAAGGAAAGGACCCAATTCTGCTTGCATCCATCACCTGCTAACTAAAGAGCCCTCAGGCTCTGAATAATCAACAGCAATGCCCAGGTACTACATTGAGAGCCTTGGTAAGCCTCTGAGATTTGCTGGCTTTATGTGAGACTCAGCACATTATCAGCAGTGGTTACTAGAGGGCAAGACTCCTTCTGCTTGAGAAAAGCAGAAGGAAAAGTAAAGGGGACTTTGTCTTGTACTTTAGGTACCAACACTGCCACAGTGGGGTAGAGCAACAAACAGGCTCTCGGGGTCCCCAACTCCAGGACTTGACTCTTGGATGGCATTTTGAACCTGCCTTGGGCCAGAGGGGAGCCCACTGCCCTGAAGGGTGAGTCCCAGGCCAGTCAGCATTCACCACAAGCTGACTTAATAGATCTTAGGCCTTAAGGAAACATTGGTGATAATCTGACAGTAGTCCTCTTGGCCAGGGGTAGCAGTGGCTACAAGGTGAGGCCCTGTGCCTTTGAAAAGGGTAGGGAAGAGGGGGAAGGACTGTATCTTGTGGTTTGAGTGCCAGCACAACCACAATACAATAGCATACCAGGTAGACATCTAAGGTTTTTGACTCTAGTCTCTGACTCCCAGATAGCACTTCTGAACCCACCCAGGGCCTGGAGCGTCTCACCAACCTAAAAGGAAGAACACAGTCCTGGTTGGCTTTGCCACCTGCTGATTGTGGAACCTAAGGGCCCTTAGTGAACATAAGCAGTAGCCAGGGAGTGGTTATAGCGGGCCTTGGGTGAGACCCAGTGCTGTGCTGACTTCAGTTCTGACCCCGCACAGCCATAGTGGTGATGGCCATGGGGGTGCTTATCACTCCACCTCTAGCTTTAGGTGGCTCAGAATGGAGAGAGATACTCTATATGTTTGGGAGAAAATAAGGTAAGACAACAAGAGTCTCTGCGTGATAATCTAGAGAATTCTCTTGGATGTTATCCAAGACTATCAAGGCAGTAACTCTAGGAGTCTGCAAGAACCACTGCATTACTGGGTTTGGGGTGCCCCCTGAAGCAGAACCAGCATAGATCATAACACCCAAGTCATTTCAGTTATCTCAAAAACCTTCCCAAGAAGGAAGCTGCAAATAAGGCTAGACATTAAGACCATAATAAATACTTAACTCTTCAATGCTCAGACACCAAAGAACATCTACTAGCATCAACATCATCCTGGAAAACACAGCCTCACCAAATGAACTAAATAAGGCACCACAAACAATTCCTGGAGAAACAGAGATATGTGACCTTTTTGACAGAGAATTTAAAATAGCTGTGTTTAGGAAACTCAGAGAAATTCAAGATAACATAGAGAAGGAATTCAGAATTCTATCAGATACATTTAACAAACAAATTGACATAATTAAAAAGAGTCAAGCAGAAATTCTGGAGCTTGAAAATACAATTGGTATACTGAAGAATGCATCAGAGTCCTTTGACAGTAGAAATGACCAAGCAGATGAAAGAATTAGTGAGCTTAAATACAGGCTATTTGAAAATACACAGTCAAGCCTGGATGAAGTGGCTCACACCTGTAATTCCAGCAATTTGGGAGTCCGAGGCAGGTAGATCAGGAGTACATGATGAGCCTGGCCAACATGGTGAAACCTCATCTCTACTGAAAATACAAAAATTAGCTGGACATGGTGGCACACACCTGTAATCCCAGCTACTCTGGAGGATGAGGCGTGGTAATTGCTTGAAGCCAGGAGGCAGAGGTTGCAGTGAGCTGAGATCACGCCACTGCACTCAAGCCTGGGCAACAGAATGAGACTCTGTCAAAGAAAGAAAAGAAAAGAAAATACTCAATCAGAGGAGACAAAAAAGAATAGAAAACAATGAGAAAAATGAAACAAATAACATGCAATGAAGCTCCAATACATCTGGCAGCAGACTTTTCAGTGGAAACCTTACAGGCAAGGAGAAAATGGCATGACATATTTAAAATGCTGAAGGAAAATAAAAGTAATAAAAGTTTCACTGTAGAATAGTATATCCAGCGAAAATATCCTTCAAATATGAAGCAGAAATAAAGACTTTCCCAGGCAAACAAAAGCTGAGGGATTTCATCAAACCAGACCCTTCCTACAAGAAATGCTAAAGGGAGTACTTCAATCAGAAAGAAAAGGACATTAATGAGCAATACATAATTACTTGAAGGTACAAAACTCACTGGTAATAGTAAGCACACAGAAAAACACAGAATATTATACCACTGTAACTGTGGTGTGTAAGCTACTCTTATGCTAAGTAGAAACTCTAAACCATGAACCAATTAAAAATAATAACTACAACTACTTTTCAATACAT